>NC_000005.10:26671457-26974487 GCF_000001405.40 Homo sapiens
ATAATCTGACTCTCCCTATACCTTTCTTAATAAATTAATTCACAGGTCACATCGTGCCTATCAATTTTTGTTTTGTTTGAAATCCCAGAATCCAGCCGCGCCTTTACTCACTGTTTTGTGATTTTTGGACTAACTGTCAGAGTTAACAGGTTAAAGAAAGTGGTGGTCTTGGCCAAGCTTGCTACTTGAAGTTTAGGTTACCTGGATATTTGGATACCAGGATTATAATTTCCCCTTTTGTAAAATACAGGGCCTAATAACATGCACAATGCCTATTCATATGAGATGTAATCATATAGGAATGTATAGGTAATAGTACTTTTACAGATGTGACTTGCTACTCTACTTAAATTATTATTAACTAACTCAACTTTTAATCCCCTGTCTATATGATAAACATCTACCTTTTCCGCATGGCCTAGCTTTAGGCATAGTCCCTCTTAACATTAATTTTCTTCACGTTAGCAGCAAACTATTATTTTGATGCTGTTATGCTATTACCAAGATGGTGACAACTTACATATTTTGATATTTTGAGGGCTAAGGAAGTCCCTGCTGAATTAAGTCTAGGAGAAATAGAATTTTTTTTAGCAGTTCATACAAAAATTACTGAATATAATTTCAGAGTGAGACCATGGTAGGATGGAGCCCTTATAATTAATAAAGAAATCAGAGGATCTACATGGCTTATAATTTTTCATAATCAATTAAAATAACTATATAAATGTATTATATAGAATACACATACTATTTATTATGTAATATATGCATACTTGTATATATATATATATAAATAAATCACAATTTCTCTCTCTCTGTATATACGCACACACACATTCACAAACATGGCTTTTTTTCATATAAGCTTTTTACCTGGCATCATTGATAAACAGCAAAACATTTATTAAAATCAATAGAAATTATTTCTATTTTCTAAGTATTCAATATCATGCATAATAATTATATTCTTTTTTATTCATAAATGAAAGCTTTTTAAATTTTATTAAACCAGGTAGAATTTTCGGTGCAGTGATGAGCATAAATCATGATAGAGAGCATCTTTGTCTTGTCTCAGATATAAAATTTTATCATTTTAAATTGAGATCTAATGTTTGCCATAAGTTATCAGAATATTTTCTTTATATTTCCAAATTGCTGAAACAAACTTATAATTAACAGGTTTTAAATTTGTCAGTTATGCTTTGTGAATCTCTTGAGATGATCATGTGAGTTAACTGATTAACAATATGAATTCCTGAAATGCATGCATCTAGATGATGATGTATTATGAAACATATTGGTGATCCACTTTATGAAAATTCTGTTTAAGAATTTTGCGGCCTGGCGTGGTGGCTCATGCCTATAATCCCAGCACTTTGGGAGGCAGGCGGATCATCTGAAGTCAGGAGTTTGAGACCAGCCTGGCCAACATGGTGAAACCTCGTCTCTACTAAAAATACAAAAATTAGCTAGGCGTGGTGGCAGGTGCCTGTAATCCCAGCTACTCGGGAGGCTGAGGCAGGACAATGGCATGAACCTGGGAGGCGGAGCTTGCAGTGAGCCGAGATCGCGCCACTGCACTCCAGCCTGGGTGACAGAGCAAGACTCTGTCTCAAAAAAAAAAAAAAAGAAAGAAAGAAAAAGAAAAATTTGCAATATAAAGTTTCTTTGCTTAATCCTGGATGAAAAGACTTATGATTTCTTTCCTCATAAAATGCTTATACACATTGAGGAAATATAATTGATCAGCTGCACCTTTTTAAGTAACCACATGGCTAAAATGAGAAATAGAGATGGCCCCATATTTTGATGAAAGTAGAAAGGTAAGGAAAGAGTTACAGTAATTCCAGTTAGAAGATTATGGTTTAGATACATATAGTACATCTACATCTTGGTGAAAACTGACAAAAATTGATAAGGAAATTAAATTGAATCAGGAATCAAGAAATTCAATTGACAGACTATAGTGAGAGATAGGGAACGCTAGTTGAAACAAGTAAAAATAACAGTAACTTCTAAGTTTCTAAGTTGGGAACTAGCTAGATGGTTGGTTGTTACTATAAGATAGAGAACATAGAAGAGGGAGTACATTTGAGGTTCTAAGAATAATAAAAATCTTAATACATTTTGGATAAGTTGAGTCTGATGTTTCTTAACACATCAAGTGGATGTGCATTATCATGCACATTCAATCAACAAACATATACGATGGTTGATTATACATATTCGGAATCCAGTGGCCCTGGCTAGAGATAGGAATCTTGGAGTGCTCAACAAATTTAAATCCCAGAAGTGAATTACATTGTCTAGAAATAGGAACTTGTTGAGAAAAGGAAAGACTTGAGAGTTGAGCCTTAATTGAATCCAACATTCAGAAGCTGAAGAAGGAGAGAAATGGTCTGGACAAGAATAGTGATAGAGAGTATAAAGAGGAGAGATTTTCACTGAGTATAAATGTCTAATATAGACAGAAGTAATGTCAGAAGGCAAAACATGTGAAGACTAAGAGACAGGTTAGGAGAATTGGAGCCTAAGTGTGGGCCACTCTTTCATAAAGGGTGATTGTGAAAGACCGAAAAGAACTGGGATGGCCACAGGAGAGGTAAATAGTAATTGAAGAGGTTTTATCTCAGATAGAAAACATCTGAGAAAATGTAAACTCCAATTAGGAAACAAAACAAAATGAAACACCACAGTGTGATCATTTACAGATAAAAGAAACAGAAAGGATTTTTAATGGTTAAATAAGTTAAACATTTAAATCACAAAGCAAGCAAAATCATGAAATCATAAAAATAAAATTAGAAAATACTACTTGAAAAATAAATAAGAAAAATGAGAATTGCTCTAAAACTGCAGAAGTTCTCTATAAAAAAATTATTCACAACCTAAGAAATAAAAGTAGGTACACACCCTCAAAATTAGAAATGAAAGGGGAATAATACTCCCTGAAAGAGGAAATTAAAAGTAACATAAAAACACTTTACAAAATCTTATGCGAGTGAATTTTAATATCTCATTGAAAGAGACAATTTCCCAGGGAAAATGTAAATTATAAAAATCTATCTCAGGAGGGATCCAAAATCTCAGCAGATCCTTAGAGTGAAAGAATTTGGGGCAATCATGAAAGTACAATTCTCCAGGCTGTAGCCCAGAGGGATATATTCAGATACACTCATGGATGAATTATTTCAACCTTCCTGGGGAAAGACATATCTGATATCATATAAACTGCAAGAAAGCTTGGTTTCCCTGTTTCCGCACATCTTGCAAACAGAAGCACTCATTACATTTCCTGTTAGACTAACTTTTCAAGACTATTGGTATAATGAACAGCCTTGGAAGGTGACAGTGTCTACCTCCAAAGCAAAGGGCAGTTCTGTTTGCTCTTCAATATAATAAAGTTAATGTCTCTCTCGAAGGCAAAGGTTGGGCAGATTCTTTGTAGTCCTTTATAAAAGACAAGTTTCTTATGCTTGGTGTTCCCCAGCTGTCATGCAAATGCACTGCATGTGCTACATTCGTGGGACCTATTGCAAGCTGCCTCCCCTCCTCTGTGGACTTCAGGAGGTAAGCTGAAAGAACATGAACACGAAATTCATGCTTCCTGCTGTGCTATAATAATGTCCTTTTTTCTCTGAACCAGTAACTGCGTGCCTTTTGTTAGCAGTCACGAAACCTGTCTATTAACTCGTTAGCTAGTAAATAGGGTAAAATCTCAGAGCCTTCATAGGACTTCCCACATCGTCTGTGTTTTCTTCCATTCGGAACTTTATCTTTCCTTGTCTCCATCACTGATACCTGCATATCATCACTTTGCCTGATACTTACCTTTCAGACTTGTCAGACCCCTCGTACACAGACTGGAAACCCACTTACATGCTCAGAGAGCACCTTGAATATTTTATATTGTAGGTTATTTGAATAGATTGTGTGCCCATGTTTATGTGTATTGCCAATTATTTTGTCATTAGTACCAAGTTGGAAATCACGTCTGTTTTGTTTAGTATTATGCTTAGCACCTAATATAATGTCTAATATTGGCATTTAAAGAAATAATCTAGGTATTCAGAGCTGTGTCTGATACACTAGATGTTTAATAATTATGTATGTTATTACCTATAGTGGTGTAATTAAAGTAAACATGCTTTTGTTTTCCCTCTCTGTTTTATTTTGCTTAGAGAAAGCTGTTGCCACTTATTAGTTCTTTTGACTTTTTGCTTTTTCTGATTGTCTGAATTTGTTTTTCCCTTTATCTGTAAATATTATTAGTTTTAAAAGATATATTTGTGACAGACATTACTTGGAACTCTTGAAGGTTAAAGGTTTATTTTTTGTTTGTTTAATTTAACACCAGTAATATATAGAATGCTGTATAATACTGTCAGAAAATTATTAATTAAAAAATAAGCTAAATTTTTGGAAGTTTTCTTGAATTTAGGTTAAAATACACTTTGTAAAATAAGTTGTTAAATAATTAGGATTAAATAAAAGTGTGGAAATTTTATGGTAATATTTTAATTATGAAGCAATCTTAACCATTCAAACATTTTCATTTATAATACTAGATAAGATGAAGACTATAGAAAAATATTAACAAAAAGATATAAATAGTAAGCCTTGGCTCTCTGTGGTGGCACACACCTGTAATCCCAGCATTTGGGAGGCCAAGCGGGGGGTGGATCACCTGAGGTCAGGAGTTCGAGACCAGCCTGGCCAACATGGTGAAACCCCGTCTCTACTAAAAATACAAAAATTAGCCAGGCGTGACGGTGGGTACCTGTAATCCCAGCTTCTTGGGAGGCTGAAGCAGGAGAATTGCTTGAACCCGGGAGGCAGAGGTTGCAGTGAGCCGAGATCGCACCATTACACTGTAGCCTGGGCAACAAGAGAGAAATTCCGTCTCAAAACAAACAAATAAAAAAACATAGTAAGCTTCACTTATGAAATTTCCTGTTAATATTTTATCTTTTCTAGATTCATTTGAATGTTTTACTATTTTTATTACCTTTAACAAAAATATACTGAAAGCTAAGCTTAGTACTTTAAAGAATGGTATAGGCAGAATTCAAGAAAAGATATTCTCCAACAGCCTACATAACTAAAATAAATGACAGCTTTAGGAATATAGGTAAAAAGAAAAATGTGAGTTATCTGTTATCCTAGGAAAAAAATGCTCTTTCAGTTGGTTATTATTAAGTCCATAGAAACAGTTTGGAAATTATTTCAAAATCATACTTGTGGTGTTGATAATCTCAGTTTTATAAATGTATTAGAGAATTGCAAAAAGATGATGGCAAAATATTCAACCCCAGTTTGAGACAATTTATAAGAGAGAAAATTACTAAAGAGGTAGATTGATATAAAGGAAAATAAAATAAAAATATGTAAGTACAGTTTTTCTTGATGTAAATGGACACGTGATATTATCAAAGTGGTTTTCAGTTTAATATACCCAGAAGAATTTTATGTAAGAGATCTATATTTAGTCAATGAATTATAATGAATAAGGTAATTTTACTGTTCATATCAGTAAGAATACTTTCCTGAAACTCCAAAAGGACATTTTTACATTTCCATTGCTTTAATGATTCTAAAACATTATGTACTTCTATCCCACACAAAGAAAATGCTTGCTATAGGATAAGATGGAAGCTTTAGCTCTTTTTGAATGAAAGCTTTGTCTTTTTTTGTGCTCTGAGAAACCTGTTCTCACAGACTCCAAATTATTGTTCTCAATAGTGTTGGCATTTGTACCACTACTATTACGTCTCAGTTTTCTTGATAGTGAGACAATAGTAACTGCATCTTGTGACAAGGGTTTAGAGTTTTTGTTGTTGCTATTGTTTTTCTATAGAGATGTAGGTAACTCTCCCTCTTCCTCAATTTTTGAGGAAAATCCTCAGTAAATCTACAACTGTATATACCAAATATATGAGAATATATTTTGTCATCAGAATTGAAAGCATATATTTTTAAAGAGCACTTTAAATTCAAAAATTTTTCACTTACTTTTAAAAAGTAATATAATCTTTAATATATCTTCATTTTTGTAGAAAATGTTCCTTCTTCTACTGTAAAATCAGCATATCTAGGATGTGAAAGAATCTAAATATATTTCATGATTCACTTCCAACATTTCCTTATGCTCATTGTAAATTACCTGATTAAGACAATAATTTTAAAAAGTATAAATATATTCAGGGTATGGATGATGCCAGTCTTATGGCTCTTTTTTTCAAAATAATATTTTGAACAAAATAACAGCAATTTGTTTCAAAACGTAGTAAGGTACTCTGAGGACCCTCACTTTACACAATATGTATGTGGCTTACCCAATGGAAAATCAATGTAAACACATCAACTCTGACAGGCTGTTATCAACATTTTACAGAGCCTAAAATCAAACTGAAAGATAACCTTTTGAAACTCAGAGGAAAATATACACTTTTAGATTTGCCAGTCATTTCATATCAATGGAGACAAAGCCAGAGATTGTGTCTTTAAAACTATGTGTTCTTCTATGAATTATTTCAAAAATTGCATTTCCTGTTAGATGTAACTTTTATCAGAATGAGACAAATCTTTGCACTGCATTATTTGTCAAAATATCACATGTTTACATATCTTGTTATAGGGGTTACATAATTTGAGATACTCAGTTATTAGTAACTTATTCCTGACTCTGATGTAAAGGGACATATACTCAAAGAAGTAAGAGGCAATCAAGGTTTGTTCATTTTAATTCAACACTGCATGAAATATTTTTATCTTGTTTTATAAAAATTGTTAAATGTCTACTGTTCCAGGCACATCAAAGAATTTATCTTATTTAATCTTAACTACATTCAAGCAAGCTTAAAAGCATAGTTTCATTTTATAACTGAGGAAACTAAAGTTTACAGAGATCAACTAACTTATTTGAGGTCACATAGGTAATAAGTAACAGACAGCATTCTACATTACTGTCACAAAGTAGGTTTTTGAAGATATATGCTATCATACTGACATTCTCATGGTCTTAAATAAATGCTATATCTTGGAGCATATGCATCTATGTATGATTAGTTATTGATTTAGAAATAAATTTATGTAAAATGGTCTAATACAGGAGTTAAGTATTAGATCTTTTAGTTTATTATAAAACACACATTAGAATACTTCCAAGTATCTTTCCTATCACAACTAATGTTTAAGAAAATAATTCAACAGGTTTTTAAAATCCTTGTTGATGGCATGTAGGCAAAAAGGCAACATGATATTGAGAGAAAAGCATAATTTTAGGGTCAGACAATCTGACTTATGAGAGGTTTGAATAGGTACTTAACCAGGATAGGGGAGATATTTACTAATAGAAAGTTATTGCTGTCTGCATTTGCACATTTATAAGTGTGTGATATCTACCATGTTTTCACAAGAAAATCATTTGAAACAAACGGGGAAGGTTGACACAACACTTTTTCATCAAAGTGATTGGAATACAGAGAAGAAAAGGACAAGTCAAATCTAACATGTGAAAGAGAAAGATTTCTCAGGGTCATCAGAACATTTCTGTGTCAATAGGTAGACTAGAAAAAAATAAAAACTGAGACAAATTCGAAAATGTCATATAGAATCATGAAACAAATATATTCCAAAGATCTGTTATGCTATTCATGGACAATATAATTACACAAATATATTAGTCTCATCTTCAACAAGCCCTCAGATTCAGTTGCTTAGCCAGGGAAGATGGCTGGCATTTGATTCTTTCTCCTCAAAATCATATACTCAAAAACAAATTCATATCTGCTTGAGATTCAAAATCCAGTATTGTACATCTATGACAATATTTAAATTTTAGCAAGACAAATATTTTATAATAAGAATGTTATAAAGTAGGTGTGTTACATGTAGATACTTTCAAGAGCCAGTTAGCTAATATAATTGCTACTTGGAATGAGGAAAGAATCTGGTTGGAGTCCCAGTAAGATTAGCAATGACAGTCCTAATTTAGCAGGGAAGACAGTAGTTCAGCATAATGTTGGAGCAGTAATAAGAGGACCAAACCTAGTAAGGAAGACATGAAATCTTTGGTCAAAGATTCAGAGTGTATGGTTGAAGGCAAGAACTGGTTCTTTGAGTAGGACAATGTAATGCCACCATAAGTGTATTTAAAAATAAAAATCTAGTGATTCTTCCTCAGAGAAGTCTTCAGCCACTTACCAGGGTAACTATGAACTGCAGAAAAAGAATGCCCACTTTTTAAAAGACTGTTTTAAATAGAATCTGAACTAATAATCAGATGTCCCCAAAAGCCATTAGATATATCTAGCTAAAATAAGAACACATTCTAAGTGTGCAATAGCATTTGAGCCAAGTTTATCTTGCAGTGAGTCGAGTGGGCCCATGGACTTTCTCTGGGGTTATTTTCTCTGTGAATAATTAGCACAGATATACTTAATAGCTCTCAGAGCCCTCATATTGGGTTCCAGACCTCAGTAACTATTGCGGTAGGATGAGCCCAGTTGAAACAACAATCATTTCACTACAACCAAAATGGAATCTCCTCCCTCCCTCTTTCTCCTCTTTCTTTTATTTTTTAACAAATTTTATTGTGTATGTTTAAGGTATACAATACAACATTATTGATATATATCTGTATCTATATATATATATATATATATATATATATGCATGTACACACACACACACACACACTTATAATACAATGATTACTGTAGGACATTGGTCAGGGTGGTAGGAGAAATTACAGGAAAATAATGCAAACCTTCTTGGAAAACCAGGGGTTTGCATAGCTTCAGAAGAGAGTTTGGCTGAAGGCAGCTGAATTCTCTTAAGAGCTTAGATTAGATAACAAGGGGATGTCAAGAAACTGATCTAAATAGTTAGTTTA
Organism: Homo sapiens; assembly: GCF_000001405.40. Lineage (NCBI taxonomy): Eukaryota > Metazoa > Chordata > Mammalia > Primates > Hominidae > Homo > Homo sapiens. Next base: position 26,680,354 of record NC_000005.10, read on the forward strand.
CTTAGGCCTCAGAACCTGGCCTTTAATCATCCACTCTTTGGACTGCGTTCTCCAGAAGGGCGGCCATATTAACTACCCACAAGTGTGTTGACTCAAAGCCTTTGTCATTAAATCTGTACTAAATAAATGCCCTTAGTGCCAGCTTGTCATGGCCGTGGCTGCTACAACTCGTGGGTGGCCCCTGTCACCTCGCCTGCTCTTTCACTGGATATCTGTGTCTGAGCGCATTTTTTTTCATCTGTCGCTTGGTCATGGTCTGCAGGTTGGACTTGGCAGATTACTATAGGGAAACACATTAATAAATCCATCATCTCACAGTTACTCATTTTTATTCCCCTTGTGACAAGAGCAGCTATAGTCTACTCATTTAGCAAAAATCTATTATTGGCTACAAATCTCTTGTTATACTTTAGATGTTTCTACTTGTTGATCCTACATATTTGCTAATTTGTATCCTTTAAGCTATGTCTCCCCATTTCCTCTTCCCTCACCCCAATGCTGGTTACCATGTTTTATTCTCTATTTTCATATATCTGAGGTTTTTTTTAGATTTCTCATATAGGTGAGATCATGCAATATTTGTCTTTCTATGCCTGGCTTATTCACTTAGCATAGCATCTTTTAGGTCCATCAGTGTTGTGGCAAATGCAGGATGTCCTCCTTTATAAGGCTGAATTATATTCTCTATATACATGAATTAGATATGGATTATATAGAAAATTAAGTAGAGATAGATTCTATATGTATATATACATATTGAGAGACATAACTGTATCTCACAGGTTTGTTTTATTCATTTGCCTGTTGATGGATACCTAGGTTGTGTTCATATCTTGGCTATTGTAAGTAATGCGTCAATGAACATGAGAGTATCAGTATCTTTAAGAGGTGGTGATTTTAGTTCCTTTTCAAAATAAGATCTCAGAAATCATATTAGACAGCAGTCTTAAACATTAAAATTTCATAATGGCCAACCCTATAATATCGTATTCCATTCATGTGTCAAGGCTTTGCACACACAAAATGGACTGTGGTAGATAAGGGTGGAGTGACATCAACCAAGCCAGATGATAGCTTTACTTGGGCATCTGGTTCTGGATGTGGTATCTTCCTGGAACAAATCTACTTAGTATGTGGTTATTGATCTGAGAAATGCATTTTTAAATTCCCATCAATACTGAACATTAAAAATAGTTCAGTTTTATGTGCAAAAGACAGCAGTTCACATTTATGATCATACTACAGAGCTGTATTAATTCTCCTGCTCTCTGTCACCACATAAAATAGGTCTTGAAATCTTGACGTTCTGCACAATATCCACACTCCTTACTGTAATGATGCCATCAAGCTAATTGAAATTAGCAAACAGAATGTGACAAGTATAAGAGATTCTTAGTAAGACACATGCTTGTCAAGGACGAAAGATAAACTCCCTGTTGAACTGATAAAAGTTTCAAAAATTTGGAGCATTCTGTAACATTTCCTTTAAGAGAAAGTTTGACCTGTGTGCCTTATACATCCCTGCGTTAACAAATTGGCTTACCACTGGTGAATAAGCACATGTTCTCATTTGGAATACTGTCTATGATATTTTCCAGATGGAAGGCTGCCAATTTTGAGTGAGTCTCAAAGCAAAAAGTGCTATATTACAAGTACCAACTAGATGTAATCTGCCCTACTGCTCAGGCAGGTGACATTGCTGAGCCATTTATGCCAAGTATATCTCTGTTGAATCAGAATGGCATGCCAAAGTCTCTGGTATGACACAATAGAAGAGTTTCAGGAACAATGCTAGGGTGAGAAAGGTCATGTTTTTATTCTGGCAGAGGAATCATTCCCTTTTCCAAAATATTCCCTGGTTTGTTTCTGTACACTCATAAAAATAGAGTGCTTGACCAAAGGACACCTGAAGCTTCCCATCATAAGCAATTTATTAACAGATCCATTGGGCCATAAGGTCAGGAAAGCACCACAGCCATCCACCTTATAAAGTGACACTATCAAGGTCACACCTAACCAGGTCATATGACTCACTTAAGTGACATGATCAAGTATTCCACCCTCCATGGCATTTATCTGACATTTATGCTGTCCTGACATCTCTGCTTCTACTAAACCCGGTAGCTTCACAGGGGTTCTGCAAGACCAACTAAAGGAGGAGGAAAAACTGTAATCCTGTTTAATAAGCAATATATTGAGATTAACCTTAAAATGTCATTGCTTTAAAAATAATCTTAAAGGTGTGACGTAAAACTTATGTTGTGATCAATGGACTGCAATATTCTATTTGTTTAGAATGAGAAAATGCCTGTGACAAGGATAGACACAGAAACCTAGGGTTGACAAACACAGAAGGATTATGACTGGACGATATAAGATAAGGGAGACTGGAGGAGAAGAATTTCAATAGGATCACATAAGTGAGTACATTTTTTTGTGTATTTTTTATGTTACAGGTTATTACCTATCAGAGCACATTTGCCTCAGAGACGATATCCCACAATCAAGTAAGAGGATGATTTAACCTATGGAGAGCAACCAATCCTTAATCTTGCACCATGAGAACATGGTGCAAGATGGAGGTTCCACGTGGACCCAGTAGTATGGCGGGCTCCCTCTCCCAGTACTGCTCTAGGTACTGCTTCCACCAAAAACTTAGCTTATCCATTGCAATTCCCCTGTTCTGCACTCATCTACTGTGGGATCACACCTTCTAAATAAGCTATCTCCATGCAGGTATCTGTCTTGGGATACACTTTCCAGGTTATTCGGACTAGGACAAATGAAAAGACAAGGAGATGCACGTGTAAAAGTAAAGATTATAGGGTTAGTTTTGGAAATGCTAAATTTGAGGTGCTATTCAGCCATGGTTTATATGCAATAGGCCATTGGAGTTAGAAGGATCTGAGGAAGCAATACATTTGAAAATCATCATAATATAGGGCATTTACATTCATAAGGACAATGGTTAACTTTTTTTTTTCAGCAGTGAAGAGGCCCAATATTTGATTTTTTGGTATGCCAGCATACAGGTGTTTGTCAAAGAAGAGAAAAACAGAAAAGAAGACAGAAAGAAGAGTCATTCAGATAAAATGAAAACCAAGAGCACATGTTGCCTTGGAAATAAAGGGAAGAAAATATAAGATGGAGAATTTCCATCTACCCCATCAACTATTGATAAATCAAGTAATATGGGAATTGAAAATTGCTGATTGCATTGAATGACTTGAAGACCTGTGGAGAAGACTTGACTGAAATGACTTAAGTGGAAAATAGGCAGAAAATTAACAACTGAGAAATGAATAGTTATGCAAAGCATTTTGCTGTCAAAAGAAGCTAAGAACTAGTGTGCAGCTGGTGGAAGAAAGGGAAGTAGAAAATGATGTTTTAAATACAGGAAATATAAGAGGATGCTTGTATGCTAATGAGAATGAACTAGAAAAACTACTGCAGGAGGAAAAGGGATAATTGCTGTGGTAATGACCCTGAGTTATGAGAGGGCCCTTCCTTTGACTCAGGGGCAGAAGTCATGTGAAAGGCATAGATAGAGGCTGGATTTGCCTAGCTGTCACTCAAAATTCCTTTTAATTTGCTGTTGTTTTTATTATTTTGGTATGATAAAACATTCATTAAGTTACCAGCTATGCTTCACTTAAACACACACATAACACACACACAAACACCCCTTAGATATATTGTTTCAACTGTAAAATATATTAATTCTGCAAATGCTGAAAACATTCCTTTGGATTTGATAGGTTTATTGTTTTAAGTGCTTCCAATATAACATGTAGATATATATGAGAGAAAGAGAGTTATAGAAATGTAGATATAGGTAATATCTGCATGATTGAAGCTAAAATAATTAAGAAACATAACATGTCCTAGAAACATCTAGGAAAATAGAGCTTAGCTTTTCAAATGTTCTCAAATCTAATAGTCATGCAATCTGGTGTAAAAGCATTGTAATATAGGGAAAACTTTAAGCATTATGTAGACGTAATTGATTCCTGATAGCATGCTAAGTCAATTATAGATTACAAAAGTTCAACTGCTATGATTTCCAACTCTTGAAAAAAATTCCTCCATTGTTGATGTCTTAATATTCATCAATTCAGTTCAGATTGAGTCTTTTTCAATGGCAAAAACTGCAATTACTTTTGCATCAACCTAATGAATCACTTGTTCCAAGTTACTAAAATTGTATTTATAAGTGTCAGCTTATGCATGTAAGTTACCAGTAGTGACCTTTGTGTTTATTTGACCTAGATTCCTAATGTCTGAAATTAGGAAAGTGACTTTCAGAAAGGTTTGGTGTCCTGCCTGTAGGTCTACATGAATACTTTTGCAAAGCTAGTAAAACCCAGGTCTCATACCATTAAATTTCAATAATGTTAATTAGTTTAAATATTTTAAATCATCTGTTCTAGGCAGAATTCTAAGATGATCCCCAGGATATATACTTGCCCCTGGAGTGTGGTAAGACCTACAAATACAATGAAATGACCTTCCAGTGATAAGGTTACTTTATGTGATAAAGTTGAAAGGATTTTGCAGATATAATGAAAATCCCAAATCAGTTCACTTATGTCAACTGATGCACAGGATAACAAGCAGGATATTATTCTGGAGTATAAAACCTTTTAAGGAGGGATAGGGTCTTCCTAAAGATAGGAAGATTCTCCTACTCATTTTGAAAACGTGAGCTGCCATGTTGCAAAGCTTCAGAGAACTTCAGACAAAGGGTGTCAGCCTCTAGAAGCTGAGCAGTCTCCAGCCAATAACCAGTAAGAAGCCAGGGCCCTCAGCACAGGGCTGCAAGCAAATGAAAGCTACTAACCACCTACATGATGCTGGAGGTAGAATATTCTCTGAACAAGCTTGCAGATAAGAATAGAGCACACTGAACAAACGCCTAGTGTGACCTTGAGCTGAGGACCCAGTTAGGTTATGCCCAACCACTCGGCCATGAGAACAGTTGATATAAATTTGCATTGTTTTAAGCTGTTACATTTTTTTAAAAGTTGTACATTTTTAAATGCTAACCAAGCTATGAAAAATAAATACTTGTTTTCTGAATTTTCAACTAAAAATTACACATAAATGATATATTGATTTTGCTTTTGAAAATCTTTTTGTTGATTTAACTTGCATTTCATGGCTTTAGTTCTGATGAGTTAGTGAGACTCAACTGAGACAGGGGATCTCTAGATCTCACATGTGAACACATTTAAATGATGATGAAAGGCTTCCTTTAGATACTGGCCTCAGCAACATTGGCAAGTGTAAAACGTAGCAGAAGAAATGAGATTTACAACTCAAACCAGAGACAAAAAAGTTATAAAACTTTGATTTAAAGTAGAAATACTTCAGACCATTATAGAAAAACGATCCAAATAAGAATCCATCCAGCACATTACTGACTATGAGGCCTTTACTTCCAGAGAAGTATTTTTAATGTGGATTTACCAACTGAACTGGGATTACTTACAAACAGCAGAAAATAAGCTTTATATCAGTATATTTCTTTGTAAAGTGGTCAAAAATATATTGTCCAAGTCAAGAAAAAAAAAATACTCAGTAAACTTTATCTACTTACCATGTTAGGAGTGATAATTTTTCTTAAAAATTCCCACTGTTTTATTTTGTGTACGTTTATGTGTATTTAGAAGTAAAACAAGCACAGAATAATAAAAGGGCCTTAACAGAAAATCTTGATTATTACACAGAGATGAGTTCACTGAGAATGGCTGACTACTGATGGTCCCAGTGTTGAAATCAACAATCAACATGGAATGCCCTTCAGTAGGGGCAAAATTTGAATTATGTTTTGAAGGTTTGATGAGTCTTATTGCCTAAAAAGAAAATGGTAGAAGAAAAGGGCAAAGAGAACAACATAAAGTTTAAGCTGGAAAATTCAGCTTGGAGCAGATTATGAAAGCTTTGCTAAAGATGTTTTGTTAATTTTAAGCAATTATATCATATGTTACATAAGATTACCTGATGACAAGGCTACTGAGATAACATCTGAGAGGAAGATGAGTTGATACATGTTGGGAGCAGTTATGTAGAGGAGAAATCTGATGAGGAGAAAAAAAATGGATTGAATTTCGGCCTTGGAGGGAAAACTAATCTGTGATCTATATTTCTGGTGGTTCTATGATCAGCCCATTTTTAAATAAGAAACCAGTCAAAAGCTAAAGGCAAAAATTTTGATTCTTAAATCCTAAAGAAAATCTGTCAAAAGTAGGAATGTTTTCAAGCTCCTAACACAATTTCCTTTATTTTCCAGTTGCCAGAAGAAAGCTTGGTTGAGTCATCAGGAAACTGAGACAAGAATATGGGTAAACAGAGATAAGTTTAGTAAAGCAAAATGGCTTTTACTGTATTTTTTATTTTTATTTTTTATTTTAAATGGAGTATTGCTCTGTTGCCCAGGCTAGAGTGCAGTGGTGTAATCTCGGTTCACTGCAGCCTCCACCTCCCAGGTTCAAATGATTCTCCTGTCTCAGCCTCCCAAGTAGCTGGGATTACAGGCATCTGCCATCACAACTGGCTAATTTTGTGTTTTTAGTAGGCGCAGGGTTTCACCATGTTGGCTAAGCTGGTCTTGAACTCCTGACCTCAGGTGATCCGCACTCCTCAGCCCCGCAAAGTGCTGGGATTACAGGCGTGAGCCATCGTGCCAGTCCCAAAATGACTTTTTATGGATTTGAGGGTATCTAGAAACACTTGATACCAGAATAGAAGAAACAAGATGTTACAATATTTGAATAGAAATATACCTAAAATTTTGGCAGTTCATACATGGAGCTCTGATTGCTTTCTACTCATGTTTACTGGAAATTTTTAATAATTGAGATGCTTAAAAACAAAACTTTGTTGTTTCTTAGTGAATTTAATGACTCTCATGTAATATCCTACAGTTTTGTAATAAATGAATATAGTTGACGAGTCAAGGACATCAATGCCGTATTAAGATGAAAAGGCAATGCTCAAGGTTTAGTTATCTTTCTTCAACAGAAAACTGGTTTGATTTTGCACAACTGAAATATTTCATATCATGATATCCATGACCAATTGCCAGTAGTAAAAGCCATTGATACTGAATTTGTGAAATCGAATATATGCTGTAACATAAAATGTTATAGTTATGGAAGCATAAGTCAAAATCAACGGATTTTTTTGTTGATAACTGAGCTGGAATAATATTCCGTTATTTTTCTTCAAAATACCTCTGGCCTAATATTCATTCACAGTCGGTTTCAATTCACTCCAGTGCATGACTATCCAGCAGACCTAAATTTGAGGTTGCAAACATTCTCAAACAGAGTAGGTTAATAGAAAAGTGTTGGGATGTTACGTGTCAGTAATACTTAGCGTGAGTACACAGTATCTGTATTAATTATATGGTTTTAACAACAATTTTCCAGTGTTACTTTATGGAAAAAAAATTTGTTTGAAATTCATTGATATTGGAAGTTTTTAATTTCCTTCTAAGCCCTCCACAACTTCTATGTAATTGTTAATTTACTCCTATTTCTCCATAATATCTGCTCTAATATTCGCCAAGCCAGAGTAATCTAATATTTGTAGTTAGGCTGATTAGTAAAATAATCAAAATAACAGATTGCTGAAAACATATAGCCTCTCAGTCTCTCAAAAGTTTGATTAATCAACTGTGTGTCCTGGTTCCTAACAAGCCACGGACTGGTGCCTGGTACTGGTCTGTGGCCCCGTGGTTAGGGACACCTGTTTCATGGGGCTCTACAGTAAGGAAAAGTAAGGGTATTTTGAGAGGCTGAGGTGGGTGGATCATCTGAGGTCAGGAGTTCAAGACCAGCCTGGCCAACATGGCAAAACTCTGTCTCCACTAAAAATACAAAAATTAGCCAGGCGTGGTGGCAGGCACCTGCAATCCCAGCTACTCAGGAGGCTGAGGCAGGAGAATCGCTTGAACCTGGAGGAGGAGGTTGCAGTGAGCGAAGATCGTGTTGCTGTACTCCAGCCTGGGCGACAGAGCGAGACTCTGTCTCAAAAAACAAAACAAAACAAAAAAAAAACAAAAAAAAAGTAAGGGGAACTTACTTCTTACAAGAGGCATGTAGAGGTGGGATTTTTCTAGTGCATGTGTGGTGGTTTAACACGCTTCTTGATACAAAACATGTATCATTAGGATCTTACATCTCCACCCCTGGGAGTGATTTTTAGCATTAAAATAAGGAAAAGGTCACTATGAGTTGAAAGTTAAGCCTAGCTTCAAGTCCCTAGTCCCCTAAAGCAGAAACTTACGTTTAATAGCTTCTTGGGCCTTTGATGTTGATTGGCTGTAGTTACAGCCTGAGTATCCGGGCTTTTGTTCTTTTTTTCTCCAGGCCACATCAACATAGGAAGCAAGCCAGCTTGCCTATCTCATGCTTTCTTAACTCATGCTTGCCTATCTCTAAAGAACTCTTCATTTCCCATGCTTCTCTCCTTGTTACTGTATTAACATACTCTTTCTGTAAAGGAACAGAGAGCATTTGAACCGTTGTGAGCCATGAAGACTTTGTTGAAAATACTCATCTGCCATTACAATGCAAAAGCCACCATAGATAATATGTAAATATATGATTATTGCTGAGTTCTAATAAAGCCATATACAAAAACAGATAGCAGGCCAGCTTGCCCTCACTACCCCTGTTTTAGTTTGCAGACCTCTAATACCAAGAAACGTAACTTTACCAGATTAATAGTATTATTCCAAATTCTAAGTGCTCTTCCTATGCTCTAGAAAAGGGAATGTGTTCAAAACTGCATCTCCAGTGGAGGACAGGAAGTCATTAAGGTTAACACTTGTGGCGTCATTGTCAAGCCTTGTCATTTTTTAATTTTCATTTTACATATTTATGTAAACAAAATAAAGAATTAAAAGAAATGTGTAAGGAATCAAAACATCTGCATATTAGACATCTTTTATTGCGGCTAGAGTGATATTTAAAATATTCAACATTGGGTTAAGCAAGGACACTAAACAGTCAAATTGATGCTGAAAGATCAGAATAGATGCTGGCAACAAAAAACACTGTATGACCAATACGAAGTGAGAATCAACTCTGCTAGTGACATTTCATCTAAAAAGGTGTGGATGTGTGTTACAGGTATGATGTATGAGAACAGGTGTTTAGACATTTCTGCTATGAGGTTTCTTACAACATGATTTAAAGTTGCCAATGTGGTGTTCTGTGGGCTGCTGAGTGTATCAATTCCAGCTACTTCCTGAAGCAGAATCTTCCAGTTAGATTGCCATAACACAGTGGTTTGCTAAGGCTGGGATATAATGTCCTGCAGTATATTGATCCTCTTAGCCCATGGAGCACCAGCAAAGAGACTTTGGAAGCCACAACCCCTGGCTTGTTACCTAGAGCTTTAAGAATTCTCGTTTTTCTATGCATATCATAACATTAAAACAAAATTGACATTCTGCCGTCCTCAGGGAATGAGTAAATATACACAGGTTCATTTAGGGCAACTCTGGATTACAACAAAGAGGTCTTCAGAGATGACTCCATTCATCACCTGGTGTGGCTGCATTCATTCGAGAGGACTAAAGTTATATGCTGAAAATTGGATTAATTTGGAGTTAATTACTTGGTTAGACAGTGAGTGGCAATGGCGTTTGGGGAAGGGTCAGGTCATTGTTTCCTGTAAGTATATCAGATGCAATAGCAAAATTCCTTGGAAGGCTCACCCACGCGTTTTGTAACAATGCTCAGATTTGTTGCATAGGTTTGGAGACCTGATAGGGCCATGATTCTTAGAGCACTGAGGTTCATGTGGTGACACAGATGTTTTCAATTATGAAATCTTACCTTTACCCATTACTTAGTTCCCTGTTGTTTGGTTGCTTAGCTGCCTGTTGATTTCATTCATGAAAGCCATACATTTTCAGTCAGGGTTCTGCACATCAGACCACTTTGAGTGCTGAATGGTCCATCTGTTCTTCTGCTTTTCACAATGACCGTGATACTTTGATTCTCATTTTTTTTTTCTGCTAGCAATTGTTTGTGTTAACTCTAGTTTTCTTCCATGCATTTTAGAACTGTAGACTCAATTTTAATTTTATCCTCTCCCGCTAGCATTGCAAATTTAGTAAGCACAACCACAATTAAAAACAAACAAACAAACAAAAAACAGCTGAGCACTTCTCTCAGCAATTTCTCACGGCAAGAGTAAAGTGTGATAGGCAGAATAACCTCCCTCCCAACCCTGCAAGATGGCCACATCCTAATCTTTAGAAACTGTGACTATATTACCTTACATGGCAAAAGGGACTTTGAAGATGTCATTACACTAAGGACCTTGAGATAAGGAGATTATCCTGGATTATTGTTATCTGTGTGAGCCCAATCTAATTACATGAGTCTTAAAAGCAGAGAACATCTTTCAGCTGTAGTGAGAGACAGATTTGATGACAGAAGAATGGTCAGAGAGATGCAATCCTGTTGGTATTGAAAATGGGAGAAGAGAACTATGAGCCAATAAATGTGAGCAGCCTCTAGTTGCTGGAAAAGGCAAGGAGATGGATTCTTCCCTAGAGCAACCCAAAATTGGAAGATAATAAATCTGTGTTGTTTTAAACTATTAAATTTCTAGCAATTTGTTACAGTGGCCATAGAAAACGAATACATACAAAATGTGTAAGATTTTTCTAAAAGTCTTAAAAAGTCTCTTTTGTTGAGTTATATATTAGATGCAATTTAATATTTCTGTCTTCCATAGTTTTTGAATTTCTTCTCCATATTATGAAAAAAAATTTTCTCTCTTCTCTCTCTCTCTTTCCATGACAACGTGCATGGGCATTTTATTTTTGTGTCAATAACGCATACAACAAAGCAAGGCCAAGGCCTGACTGATTTGACTGGTAATGGTTTAATGAGACAGCCATTTTTACATTAGGCAGTTTATTGCTTACCTAGACAATGAAAAGAAGAATAAGCCTAAGGTGCCACCTCCTCATTATCCTTGTCCCATACACTAAAAGGGATGACACAAACAAAAGGGGCCAAAACTGTCATGTGAGTTGTAGGAAAGATATTCCATTGATGAGGAGTCCACTCTACACTGCAGCTAAGTGGTCTTGTATTCCACAGCTCTATTTCAAGGAGTATGGGACAGACAGCCCCACACTTTATTAGAAGCTGAGAGGCAATGAAGACTCTCTCCTGACAGCCTCAACAGGTAGACACAGAGGTGCATGTAACAGGCCTTGAAGGAACCTTTACAGATCTTCACCTTCTCCTTTTGTGGCAGGATTACAAGGCATTCTGCCAAGACTCAAACTGTGGTTCAAGCCTTTGTCTTTGTGGTCTATGTGGGTATGAGCAAAGTAACATGAATGATCAGACCTCTTCCTCTACACTCTGAAGATGACAGAGAGAAAATCTCATTTCTAAGATACTGCAAATTGTATAAGTGGAATCATGTACATCTGGAAATGCTGGCAGTCATAGATAAAATTTCTGTAGAATAAAGTAACAAGGTACTGGATAGCAAAGTCAAAAAGTAGAGAAACAGAGCTCCATCATAAATTTATAAAATCAGTCATTATAAAATTAATCACGCTATCTGTTCCAATAGGAGTAGCAATTAATCCTTTATGTAGAGCTAATTTTAATTGTGTGCCTTCCTCTTACAATTGAACATAATCATATTAATACATAAAGCTGACATTGTACAACATAATTCCACCTTCAATGAGTACTAAAAAGTTAAACATACATAAAATGTGTGCTAATTGTTAATAACATTGGAGTTGTATAATTTCTGTATATAATGTTTTTAATTAGTGGCATGGACCCAGTTATGGATTAAAAATCATATTTATATTGTAAGCTGAAGTTACAAGATGTAATTTCAGATATGTGGTACTCAGCTTTACCTTGGATTAAGTCTTGACCCTTGAAATGAGTCAAAATGTGTCCTTACCGACATTTATTGAAGTGATGATGTAATTGGGAGCAGTTCAAAAGAACATTTAATGGTGTACTCCTTGAAATATCACTGGAAATAAGAAGGTGATGTGTAAGTTGCATGTACAACTCCATCAGCCATCACATTTATATGTGTAAGCTACATGCAAAATGCTTATACAACCAATACATAAGAGCTCCCCCTTTAGATTGAATGTATCCTTGGAAATGATCATTTAAATTATTTAATCATTTATGAGACATACCCAGATCAATGGCACCTAACAAAATACCTTGCCAGATTATATATTTGGAAATAAAACAGTATTCATTAATTCTTATCCTCAAAATGACAAGAAAACTGGAAATCACCGAAATCATTGGGAAAATTTTTAAAGTAACTGAAGGCATCACAGAGCTTTCAAGTTTAAGTTTGCCGAGTCAGATACAGTAAATCGAATTTTAAAATATATATTTTTGATTATCATATGGTGTATTATACCTTTATTCAGTCTATATTTTTCCTCTGTCTTAGTATGGTTTGTCCCTTTTCTTATTTTGTATTTAACACTTTGAAGTTTTAGCTACTTTATTAGTGTCCTGCCCCTGCATGGGCATTAGAATTTTAGCTCTAAGCCCTTAGTGAGCCCTTCGTGCGTATATCCAGGTTTTCCCTTCTCTTCTTTGTCATGATGTCAACATCGGACACCTCACTTAATTTTCTCAACTTATATTTGACACCTATAGTCTTCCTTTAGTTATCCAAGGCTTAAATGTTTATCAGAACATGATGCAATCATAATCTCTATCTGTTTATGGCAGGACGGTGGTCATTCTCATCACTTCATTCTTCCCAATTACATGACGTCAACCACCAAATTCTATGTGAGCATAGAAAATAATTTTCCCTATTGAAATTGAGAGTGTACAGGGCTCTGAAATTAAATGATAGTAATTTAGAAGTCATTATGACAGAATGTGACATAAAAAAGTATATATGTACTTAAATTTTCTTGTGAGTATTTGATAATAATATTGGCTATGATAATGCCACTGCACCAAGCTTAGAAGAATTTTTCCTGTGCATTCACAACGTGGCTAACAACTTTGGTGGAAGAAGCCCTATCTCAGCCTATCTTGGCTTCTGACACATCTTCATTGCTAAGCTTACTCATTTCTAGCTTTTGCTTTAAAGCAAAAGACATGCAACTCTTCTTTTCACTTGAGTACTTAGAAGCCATTGTAGGGTTATTAATTGGCTTAATTTCAATGTTGTCATGTCTCAGGAAATAACGAGGCCTGATGACTGGAAGAAAGATGGGGAACAACTGCTCTGTGGAGGAGTCAGAAATAGTTGACTATTCCAAATAGGTGAAATTCATAGTGATCCAAAGCAATTATAAAAGTGACATCCAAGATCACTGATCATATATTAACAGAACAGATATAACACTAATGAAAAAGTTTGAAATATTGCAAATTTACCAAAAAGACACAAAGTGAGCACATGCTGTTGAGAAAATAGGTTCATAGGCTTTCTTACAACAGTGTTGCCACAAATCTTCAATTTGCAAAAAAAATGCAATATCTGTGAAGCAAAATAAAGCAAAGTGCAATAAAATGAGGTATGCCTGTGTACAACTCACTAGTAAAAGGAAGTACACAGTGGAATTCTGAATACTCTAATAATATAATGATAAGGGTATAAATCACTAATATCTTTAGTATGAAGGTTAAAAGATAAAACTACAATAATTTATTAAGGAATATGCACTATAAACAAACGTAAGTTATTATATCATGTATTCAAATTTGCAAGGGGGAGGAAGTGATGTTGGTAAACCAAATTCTCCCAAAATATTTTAAGATATTTATTGAGTGACTGAAGCCTGGTATTGTATTACAGAGCCTCAAGAGGTACTGAGAAAGTGCACCCAAAGTGGTCTAGTTAGAGTTTGGTTTTATACCTTTTAGGGAGACAGGCATTACAGGTAAAATCATAAATGAAAATATGGAAAGTGTACATTGGTTTTGCCTGTAAAGGTGAGATACCTTGAAGTGAGGGCTTGCAAGTCATAGGTGGGTTTTAAAAATTCTTTAGTTGACAATCAGTTGAGAGAGTTAAGCTATTGTTTAAAGACTCGAGGTCAGTAAAAGAAATGCTTGAGTTAAGATCAAGGGATCTGCTATCTGCCATGTGATGTTGTTATACCTGCGTCAGGTTAAAAAGTAAGCCAAGGCCAGGTATGGTGGCTCACACCTGAAATCCCAGCACTTTGGGAGGCCAAGGCAGGCAGATCACAAGGTCAGGAGGTCAAGACCAGCCTGGCCAATATGGTGAAACCCTATCTCCACTAAAAATACAAAAATTAGCCAGGCGTGGTGGTGCACGCCTGTAGTCCCAGCTACTCGGGAGGCTGAGGCAGAAGAAGCACTTGAACCCGGGAGACAGAGGTTGCAGTGAGCTGAGATCAAGCCACTGCACTCCAGCCTGGGTAACAGAGTGAGACTCTGTGGAAAAAAAAAGAAAAAGTAAGCCACATTATACTGGATTAATAAAAAAATATATTTTAAGAGATTGTATGGTTTGTAGGACATGACTCCCCTGTTCTCTTAGATAGGAACTTGGGAAAAAACAAAACAGAAGGTCAGAGTTCAGGCCTCAAAGTAATGAGTAGTATTTATTTCCTTTTGTTTTTCTTTCATTTTGTGTGTGTGATCAAAATTAAGTTGTTATCTGCTTAATATAACCTTAATAAAACCATAAGATGATTATGTAAGCCTCATTATAAACATGAAGCAAAAACCTATAATAGATACAATCAAAATGAAAAAGCAAGGAATGAAGCATACTCCTAGAGAAAGTCATTTGACCACAAAAGAAGGTAGTAAGAGAAGAATAAATGACTTAGAAAACAATTAACAAAATGGCAATAGTAAGACTTTACCTAGCAATAATTACCTTGAGTGTAAATAGATTATATTATCCAATAAAATATATAGTGTGGCTGAATGAAATTTAAAAACATAGCCCAACTATATTCTGCCTATAAGAGACTCACTTTACCTGTAAGGACACAGACTGACATGAAGTTGATGGAGAAAGATATTCCATGCAATGTAACCAAAAAGAGAAGGAATGGCTATACTAACATGAGACAAAATAGACTTTAATATAAAAATTGTAAAAAGTCACAGAGAAGGTCATTAAATAATGATAAGGGGATCAATTTAGCAAGGTAATATAACAATTATAATTATATATGCCCCAATATCAGAGCACGTAAATATAAAAGTCAAATATTCATATATCTAAAAAGAGAGATAGAGTGCAATACAGTAAGAGTAGCAAACTTCTACAACTCACTTTCATCAATGGACACATCATCCAGACAGGAAATCAACAACATACGAGATAGATTTAAATTACACTCCAGACCAAAAGGACCTAATAGGCATTGACAGAACATACTATTCAACAGCTACAAAATACACAATTTTCTCAACTGCACAGAGAACATCCTCTAGGAGAGATCATATGTTAAGCTACAAAACAATTCTTAATGAATTTAAGATCAAAATAAGATATACTTTCTTTTCTGATCACAATTGTTTAATACTAGAAATTAACAAGATAAACCTCAGAAACGTTACAAATATATGAAAATTAAAATACAGACTGCTGAACAACTAATGTGTAAGTGAAGAAATTGAAAGGAAAATTAAAAAAAACAAGACAAAGATAAAAACACAGGATACTAAAACCTATGAGATACAGCAAAAGCTATTCTTTTAGGAAAGTTTATAGCAATAAATACCTACATTGAAAAAGGAGAGGTATCAAATAAAGAAACCTAACATTGCACCTCAAGTAACTAGAAAAACAGGAACAAACTAAACCCAAAGTTAGCGAAGGGGAAAAAAATAGAAATCAGAACAAAAATAAATTAAATAGAGAGTAAAAAAATACCAAAGAGTAATAAGGGTTGTTTCTTTTAAAAATGGTAAATAAAATTAACAAACTGTATCTGGACTAATTTTAAACAATGAGAAGTCCCACATAAATGAAATTAAAGATAAAAAAGATTATATTACAACTGATACCACAGAAATACAGAAAATCATAAAAGACTATTATGAACAACTATATTTTACCAAATTGGAAAACCTAGAAGAAATAAATGAATTCATGGACACATACAACCTACCAAAGTTGAATCAAGAAGAAATAAAATCTAAGCATACCATTAATGAGTAATGAGATTAAATTAGTAACAAAATGTCTCCCCTCAAAGAAAAGCTCAGGACCTAAAGGCTTCACTACCGAATTCTACCAAATATTTAAGAGGAGCCAATACTAATTCTTTCTAAACTTTTCCAAAAAATTGAAGAGGAGGAAACTTTTCCAAATTTATTCCCGGAGATCAGTGTTATACTGATAATAAAACCGGAGAAGGAACAAAACAAAACAAAACAAAAAGCCTACAGGCCAATCTCTTTGATAAACATAGATGAAAAAATCTTTAACAAAATACTAGCAAATCAAATTTAATAGCACATTAAAAAGTTCATTCACTGTGATAAGGTAGGATATATCCCAGGAGGGCAAAAATGGTTCAACATACACAAATCAATAAATGTGATACATCATATTAACAAAATGAAGAATAAAATAAAAATGATCATTTTAATAGACATAAAATATTTGATAAAATTTAACAGTCTTTCTTCATAAAAACCCTCAACAAACTAGGTACAGAAGAAACATACCTCAAGATATTAAAAGTCACATATGACAAATCCACAGCTAACAGCATACTGAACAGGGAACAGCAGCAATCTTTTCCTGTAAGACCTGAAACAAAGCCTAGTTTCAGCAGTTTTATTCAACACAGCACTGGAAGTCCAAGCCAGAGAAATAAGGCAAGATAAAAAGATAAAATGCATCTAAGTTAAAAAAGGAGGAAGTCAAATTTTACCTCTTTGCAGACAACATGATTTTATACAGAGAAAACCCTAGGGACTCTACCAAAAAAAGTGTTACAACCAATAAACCAATTCAATAAAGTTGCAGGTTACAATAGCAACATACAAAATTTAGTAGCATTTTTACATGCTAATAGCTAACTATCTGAAAAAAAAATAGTCAAGAAAACAATTCTGTTTACAATAGCTACAAAATAAAATGAGTTACCTATGTTTAAATTTAACCAAGGAGATAAAAGATCTCTACAACAAAAACTATATATTGTGGATGAAAAATTTGAAGAAGACACAAATTAATGGGAATATATCTCGAGTTCATTAATTGGAAGAATTAACATTATTAAAATGTCCATACTACCCAAAGCAATCTATAGATGCAATGAAAATTACTATTTAAATATTAATGGTAATTTTTTACAGAAATGAAAACACTATTTTAAAATTCTATAGAATCAGAATACTATTCCCTGAACGACCAAAGCAATTTTGAGAGCCAAGCAAACAAACAAAAAACCTGAAAGCATCACACTGCCTGACTTCAAAATATACTACAAAGCTATGGTGAACAAAAGAGCATGATAATGGCATAAAAATAGGCACATAGACCTATGACACAGAATAGAGAACACAGAAATAAATCCACTCAATAATACCCAATTGACTTTTGACAAAGATATCAAGAACGTACGTTAGGGAAAGTATAGTCTCTTCACTAAATAGTGCTGAGAAAACTGGATATCTGTATGCAAAGGAATAAAGCTTGACCTCTATCTCTTGCCATATACGAAATTCAACTAAAAATCGATTAAATACTTAAATGTAAGACCCAAAGCAATAAAACATTAGAAAAAGAAAACACTCCATAATATTGGTGCTGGAAAAGAATTTAGAGATGTCAAAAGCACAAACAACAAAAGCAAAAATAGGAAAATGAAACTGCATCAAACTAACAAATTTCTGCACAACAAAAGAAAAAACAGGATGAAGAGAAAATTTACGAATGGGAGAAAATATTTACAAACTATACTTCTGACAGAGGTTTTATTTTCAAAATAAAACTCAAACACCTCAAGAGCAAAACAAAAACAATTAAAAAATAAGCAAGAGATATAAACAAATTTGTCTCAAAAATATGTCTCAAAAAATGTCTAAAAATGACCAACAGGTATACGAAAAAATGCTCAGTGTCGCTAATCATCAAGGAAATAGAAATCAAAACCACAGTCACACCCCAATTAGAATGTCTATTACCAAAAGACAAAAAATAACAAATGTTGGTGTAGATATGGAGAAAGAAGAACTCTTACACATTTTTGATGGGAATGTAAATTAATATAGCCATTATAGTAAAAAGTAGGGATATTCCTGAAAAATTACAAACAGAACTACCAAATAATCCAGGAACAATCCTACTATTGGGTAGATATCCAAAAGAAATGCAATTAATATGTCAAAGAGAAATTTTCACTCCCATGTTTATTGCCGCACTGGTTATGATAGCCAAGTTACGGAATTAACCTGTTAATTAGATAAAGAAAATGTGGTATATACACAACAGAATACTATTCAGAGATAAAAACGCATGAAATTATGTCATCTGCAGTAACGTCGATGAGACTGGAGGACATTATGTTAAGTGAAATAAGCGAGGCACAGAAAGACAAACACCACATAATTTCACTTATAGGTGAGATGTAAAAAAGCTGATCTCATAGAAGTAATAGTGGTTACTAGAGAGTGAGGAGAGTAGGGAGGATTGGGGGATAAAGAGATTGGTCAACAGGTACAGAGTTACAGTTAGATCTGATGAACAAGTTCTGGTATTCTATTGTACATTCAGGTAACTGTGCTTAACAATATTGTACTGTACACAACATTGATTTCCTGTCTTTCATTTGCCATGGATGTCCATGTGTGAGTCCAATGTTGATTTCTCCAGTGTTACCAGGACAAGCGATTTCAGGAACCAGTACTCTGATTAGAAAGGTAATTAGAGATTCATAGTTAATGCCCTCATTTTGTTGGTTTCAGTTGCACAGATTATTTTTGTAGAAGCCCATCATCAAACAAAGGCTAATATTTCTTCTATTTCAGTAAGCAAAGTATGTGGAAAATTGAACTGTGTTTGGAAAATCAGACAGTGAGATATATAGGATGACCAATTTTATCTTTACTGAGATGTTTTCCAGGCTTTCTTTGACTTCACAACAAGGGCCCTTTCTCCATTTACAAAGGTAGAGTAGAGCTGCTCTTCTGGATACCTGGATAGCTGTTAAACTATTGTTTGATCTGCTTGTATGCAATCCATTTGCAGCAATTGAAACCACTACTATTATGTATTTCCTCTGTGCTTTTATAAAAGATTTTCAGTCTTTTAAAGCTAAAGAAAGTAAGTGAATAAATTGTATCTGGGAAGTATCTGAAAATAGTGTGAAGCTGGAGTTTTTAAACATATACCAGCTCAACATGAGGCTTGGGATTTTATAGAATGGTTTGTCATTTATACTTCTTTAACCACTCAACATTTTGATTTTTAATGATAATAACATGTGTATTTTTATGCTAAGGTTACTAGTACTACTAACAACATTACAAAAAATAGCAGAAAAATTCTGCTTTCTCAATTTGTAAGCCAGAAGCCAATATATTAAGTAGAAGAATACAATGTTAAATATAATGACAGTACATTTCAGGTAGCCAAAACGCATTATTGTTTCTATCTGTTGGGGTGTGTTACAGGTGATATACATATATATATATATATATATATATATATATATATATATATATATATATACATATATATATATATATATATATATATACATATATATATATATATATATATATATACATATATATATAATGAGATCCACTGTATTGTTTTATTACAGATTTATTTATTTTCCTCTCAAATGTTAACTTATTTTTATTTATCAAGAAGTGAATAGGAGAAGTAAAATTAAAAAAACAAAATAGAAATGGAACAAGAAGAACAAATACCAAACACAAGTTATGTTGGATAGAATTTACATTAAATCATTCTTAATAATTTTACTTTTCTACTTAATAATTTGCAAGAATATTAAATAAAATACCATACTTTTAAAATAATTTATATATTACTTTATAAATTACCTTAAAATTATTTAAAATTGAGAAGGTGCATAATCTGTATTTGCCAAACAGAACTAAAATTAATACAGTTTCTGAATTTCAATGACTCGTTGCTAAGTATTAACTAGCACTATCATCCTTGTTATGTAATTAAAATTGTATGTTCGAACAATCTCGTGTTTTTATGGCTATCTAATTAAATTTATTTAGTTCATGATCTGATGCCTTATGTTTTATTATACATTTTTTGGAGTTTTCTCTTTTTTCTCCGATACGCATGGAACATTTTTACTGTTTGCTTTTAGATTACTTTGAAAAAAAAAATTCCTGTATTTGTACTGTAGTAAAATTATTTTGGTAAAACTATTGAAATGATGTGTTGACTTATTTCATTACACCATAATTATGTAAAAATCATCTATAGCAGAAAAAGACATTAAAAAATCCTTTATTGTAATATACAATATCGAGCTATCAATGTAGAAAAACCTTGAAAAGACAGCAATACTCAAAGAAACCACAGGACAACACAGAATAAGAGGAACACTACTGCCCCCAAGTGCCTGATTGGAGATTGATGATGCCAATGCCTCTTGGGGATAGAAAATAACTGTACAGCTCAATCCTGCTTTATAGTCATGAAGAATTATTTCATTATATAATTTCTTATTACTGTCTTGGCTTGTTTAGTGCTTCTTTAAATCCTGTATTAAAATGGCAAAATTGGGATTCATTTATAATTTGTTATCTATTTTTTATTCCATGGGAAAGTTAAAAGGGAAGATCAACATCTTGTCGTTCTGAATTTGCCAGCATCATATTTGCCCACAACTGTAACTTTGAGAAAGAAGATTGGAATTAAAACAGATAAGATCTAATCACATGTTTATCACTCAATGCTTGATCCTCTGCAGATTATGTAACTAGCAAAGACTTCATATTTTCCTTATTTCTAATTCTATAGCACAATTTTATTTTGAATAGGATGTGTAGTTATAATGTGATTGATTAAAGCTGCTATTCTTTTTTTTTTAACGGAGTTTCGTTCTTGTCACCCAGGCTGGAGTGCAATGGCGTGATCTTGGCTCACGGCAACCTCCGCCTCCCTGGATCAAGAGATTCTCCTGCCTCAGCCTCCGAAGTAGCTAGTGTTACAAGCGTCCGCCACCACGCCCAGCTAATTTTTGTATTTTTAGTAGAGATGGGGTTTTGCCATGTTGGCCAGGGTGGTCTCGAACTCCTGACCTCAGATCATCTCCCCGCCTTGGCCTTCGAGAGTGCTGGCATTATAGGTGTTAGCCACCGCACCCAGCCTAGAGCTGCCATTCTTACTGAGTAAGTAAACATCATTGGAAGATTTCCTTATCTTATTCTCCAACATTTGTGCATGCTATGAGTTATGGAGCAACCGTCTAACTACACACATAGAGTGTGAGGGTTAATATTAAGTGTCAACTTGATTGGACTTAAGGATGCAAAGTATTGATCCTGGGTGTGTCTGTGAGATTGCCAAAGGAGATTAACATTTGAGTCAGTGGACTGGGAAAGACAGACGTACCCTCTATTTGGGTGGATGCCATCTAATCAACTCCCAGCGGGGCTAGAATAAGGCAGGCACAAGAAGTGGGAGAAGCCAGCTTGCTGAGTCTTCTGGCCTTCATCTTTCCCGCGTTGGATGCTTCCTGCCCTCAAACATCAGACTCAGAGTTCTTCAGGTTTTGGACTCTGGGACTTACATTTGGACTCTCCGACTTACACCAGTGGTTTGCCAGGGACTCTCAGGCCTTCGACCACAGACAGAAGGCTGCACCGTTGGCTTCCCTACTTTTGAGGTTTTGGGACTGGGACTGGCTTCCTTGCTGCTCAGCTTGCAGATGGCCTGTTGCGGAAAATCACCTTGTGATCATGAGTCAATACTCCTTAATAAACTCCCCATCGTATATCCATCTACCCTGTTTGTTCTGTCCCTCTAGAGAACCCTGACTAATACATAGAGGAAAGAAATGTTTCAAGTAATTTGGAACATAGTGTTTTGACTTATATTCTTCATATAATATTTTTTCCTTTTTTATAAAATATTTTTAAAATATAAAAGTGTCTTATACGTTATTTATAGTATAAGTTGATTTATAGTACAGGCTTATTTATAGTAGTGACATTCATATTGCAATGTTTAAACTATTATATATAGAAACATACAAATTTATATGTATTTCCTTATATGAAAATAAACATTTATATTATAGAATGTGTATGTAATATATTATTGTAAATAGGACTCACTCTTTTCATTGTTCTTATAGAATGTAGAGACAAATATAAAATAAAAGTAATTATTTTCATTTAGGACAAAGTCCTATAATTTGAATTGCACATTTTCATAAAATCATACCTTTAGGTCTAAAAGCAATGCCACTTCAGCAATAATTATAAAGCCAGCATCCAGATCATTGTGTTTAGATACCATTGTCTTTAAATATCATGTGTTTATACTTCATTTGTATTTAAATGTCATTACCTACTAAGAAGAATCACATACCTCTGGAGAAATGGTTGATGCCAAGTCTGAGCAGAAAAAGTACAACATTAATCTGGATCTCTTATTCTTCCAGGATGTAAACAAATAAACAAAACAAACAAAAGTAATGGTAATGTCAAAAGCACACAGGGGCAAGTTTAAAGTGGTTCTCACAGTACACATTTGGGATATTTTTAGCATCAAAGGAATAATGATGTGATTAACACATGGAAATAAAGAAGTTTGTGAATCTATAGTGACATGATTTACAGAGTAGTAGCTGCTAATAAATACAGCAGGAAAACTTAGAAATCATCATTTTACAGCCCTCAGTGTAGTCATAAATTAAGGTGAGGCTCATCTATGAAGCTAAAAATTAACAGTAGAAAAAGTATTAAGGAATAAGTCATTTTATGTTTTCAAATTATGACCTGATGTATTAATTAGCAATTAAAAATGAATAACAGACATTTATAATGGGTAGACCTAGTAGTCATTAACCAAGTGATAAAAAAAAAATCATCTCTAAGGATAAGACGAAAGAACATTTAGTGCCTCCTGACATAACATGGTATGAAGTAGACATCTTCACTTATGAAGAGTTCTTACCAGTCAATGTATCTGGAATGTAGCCAAGTCTCTAGACTTAACTTGGATTTTTCAGGGGCAGAAGAACACATGAAATAACATAAGAACGCAATCAAACAAATCCAGAGCCTATTACTTTCTACATGAAAAGTGACTTAGTTTTTTTCAAAAATCAATGTTTTGAAACATCGACAACAACAGCTGGGTATATTGTTCAATGTTGTAAGTGACAAAAATCGACACTAAAAACACAGCGAAAATTGTAACAAGAAAGGCTGGATTAGATTGCAGTTTGTAAAACAAAATAGCTAGGAAATATTTTTGAGACTTTTGAATATGAACTGTGTATTACATTACATTTTAGGATGATTGTTAATTCTATTAGAAAAAATAATGGTGCTACTGCTTTGTAAGAAACTACCAGATACTACACATACATAGATATTTGGTCATGCACTGCATAACAATGTTTTGGTCAATGGAAGACCACATAAATGGGACAGTGGTCTTACAAGATTATAATGGAGCTAAAAAAAATTCCATATCCCCTAGTGATGTCGTAGCTGTCATAACGTCATAGCACAACACATTTCTGATGTGTTTCTGGTGATGCTGTTGCAAGCAAACCTACTGTACCACCAGTGGTATAAAAGTCTAACAATACAATTATGCATAGTACATGACGCTTCATTATAATAATAAATAAAGATATTACTGGGTTACGTATTTGTTATTACCATACTTTCGCAGTGATTTTATAGTGTATTCCTTCTACTTACAAAATTAAAAAAACTGAACTCTAAAACAGCCTCAGGTAGGTCCTTCAGGAGGTATTCCAGAAGAAGGCATTGTTTTTTTGTTTGTTTGTTTGTTTCTGAGACGGAGTCTCACTCTGTCTCTGTCGCCCAGGTTGGAGTGCAGTGGCGCTATCTCGGCTCACTGCAAGCTCCGCCTCCCGGGTTCACGCCATTCTCCTCCCTCAGCCTCCCAAGTAGCTGGGACTACAGGCGCCTGCCACCACGCCTGGCTAATTTTTTGTATTTTTAGTAGAGGCGGGATTTCACTGTGTTAGCCAGGGTGGTCTTGATCTCCTGACCTCGTGATCCACCCACCTTGGCCTCCCAAAGTGCTGGGATCACAGGCGTGAACCACTGGGCCCGGCCAAGCGTTGTTATCATTGGTGATGACGGTGCCATACGTATTATTGCTCCTGAAGACCTTCCAGTGGGACAAGAGGGAGAGGGGGAAGGCAGCGATATTGATAGTTCTAATTCCATATAGGCTTAAGCTAATGTGTGTGTTTGTGTCTTAGCTTTTAACCAAAAAGTTTACAAAGTAAAAATCTCTTTAAAAAATTAAAAATAGACAAAAAGCTTATAGAATAAGGATATAAAAATGTTTTTGTACGGTTGTAAAACGTGTTTGTGTTTTAAACTGTGTTATTACAAGAATTAAAAGGTTAAAATAGGCTGAGCATGGTGGCACACGCCTGTAATCTCAGCACTTTGAGAGGCCGAGGCGGGCATATTACCTGAGGTCAGGAGTTCAAGACCAGCCTGGCCAACATGGCGAAACCTTGTCTCTACTAAGCATACAAACAATTAGCTGGGCATAGTGACAGGCTCCTGTAATCCCAGCTACCGAGGAGGCTGAAGCAGGAGAATCACTTGACCCCAGGAGGCAGAGGTCACGGTGACCCCAGATGCACCACTGCACTCCAGCCTGGGGGATAGAGTGAGACTCTGTCTCAAAAAAAAAAGAAGTTAAAATAAAATCGAAAAGTTTATAAAGTAAAATTTCACAGTAAGTAAAGGTTAATTTATTATTAAGAAAAATATATTTTTTCTAAAATTTACTGTAGCCTAAGTGTACTGTGTTTATAAAGTCTACAATAGTTACAATAATTTCCTAGGACTTCACATTCACCAACCTCTTACTGACACCCAGAGCAACTGCCTGTACTGCAAGCTCCATTAGTGGTAAGTTTCCTATATAAATGTACTATTTTTTATCTTTCATACCATATTTGACTGTACCTTTTCAATATTTAGATATGCTTGGATTCACACATGCTTACAATTGTTTCACAATTTATTAAAGTAACATGCTATACAGGTTTGTAGCTTAGAAGCAATAGTCCGTACCATATACCTTAGGTGTGTAGTGGACTATACCAGCTAGTCTATACCATCGTCATTCTGTGATGTTCGCACAATGACAAAATCACCTAACAATCCATTTCTTAGAATGTATCACTGCTGTTAAGATGTATGACTAGAGGGAGGGAGAGAGAGAGGGAGAGAGAATGCACACTTATAACGTATTATTAAACTTTTATAGAATAAATATTTCAATGTCGAAAGATTACAAAATAATTCTCATTATTTCAGAAATTTAATATGCAATGTATGCTTTTGATTTCTGTGGAAATAAAGGTTGAATATGTATCATTTAGATAAATAGCACCAAATTCCATTTGGCAATGTTGTAATAGACTGGCTAACCACAGTAAAAACAACAGGTTATACTATTCTGAAATCTTTGATACAGTAGGATGGTGATATTAAAAATAGTTACACTGTATTTTCTTTGTTCTTTACAATTCAGTATCAGAAAAACAAATTTAGTAAATAGTTCTGTTCATATAATGGACACAAATAAGTGGGGAAATAATACCAGTCTTTAGAGACTTTGGAAAAAAGGTAAAGAATGCAAAGGATGCCAAAGTTTCTTTTTCAGCATGAAGGTGAAATACATACAAATAATCAAAATATGAGTTAAATAATATCATAAATATTGCATTGAATATAATTAATTAATGAAATATTTCCAACAACTCAGGCATTTTTTTTCAAAATCAAGTACAAAATTATTTTCAAAGCCTTTTAAAATGTTGTCATAAAATTACTTCAATCATTTTAAAGTTTTTCTTTTTTATCCTGACACAAAAGCCATACAAGGACACTGTAAATAAAAAAATAAAATGATACCAATTTTCCTAATGACCATAGATGCAAAAATCCTCAACAAAATGGTAGCAAACTGAATTCAACAGCATATTTAAACGTTCATTCACCACTACAAAGTGGGATATATCCATGGGGTGCAAGGATATTTTTACATATACAAATCTATAAACATCATACATCAAATTAACAGAATGAAAAACAAAAAGCATATGGTCATCATTATCAATTCAGGAAAATTATTTGACAAAATCTAACATCCTTTCATGGTAAAACCTCTCAAACATTAGGCACAGAACGAATGTACCTCAACAAAACAAAGGCTATGCATAACAAGCCCACAGCTAATATCATACTCTTTGGTAAAAAGGTGAAAGCTTTATCTCTAAGATGAGAAATAAGGCAAGGATAACCTCTCTGAACACTTCTATTCAATACAGTACTAAATATCACAGGCACAAAAATTAGGCAAGAGAAATAAATAAAAGGCATTCAAATAGGAAAGGAAGAAGCAAAATTGTCCATGTTCTGACAACATGATCTTATATAGAGAACATTATAAACATCACATTAAAAAACTATTAGAACTGATACGCAAATTCAGCAAAGTTGCAGAATAAAAATATGCAAAATAAATAGTGTTTCTATATACTAACTTATGTGGTTTGGCTGTGTCCCCACCCAAATCTCATATTGAATTTAAACTCCCATATTTTCTACATTTTGTGAGAGGGACACACTGGGAGATAATTGAATCATGGGGACAGTTTTCCCCATATTATTCCCATGGTAGAGAATAAGTCTGATGAGATCTGCTGGTTTTGTAAGGAGTAACCCCTTTTGCTTGGCTCTCATACCTGCCTCTATGTAAGGTGTGCCTTTCACCTTCTGCCATGATTGTGAGGCTTCCTCAGCCACATAGAACTGTGAGTCCATTATACCTCTTTTTCTTTTAAATTACCCAGTCTTGGGTATGTCTTTATTAGCAGCATGAGGACAGACCAATAGAGTAAATTGGTACAGGGAGTGGGGTGCTACTGTAAAGATACCCAAAAATGTGGAAGTGACTTTGGAACTGGGTAACAGGTAGAGGATGGAGCAGTTTGGAGGGCTCAGAAGAAGACAGAAAAATGTGGGAAAGTTTGGAACCTCCTAGAAACTTGTTAAACGGCTTTGACCAAAATGCTGATAAAGATATGGACAATGAAATCCAGGCTGAGGTGGTCTCAGATGGAGATGAGGAACTTTTTGGGAACTGGAGTTAAGATGACTCTTGCTATGTTTTATCAAAAAGACTGGTGGCATTTTGACCCTTCCCTAGAGATTTGTAGAACTTTGAACTTGACAGAGATGATTTAGGGTATCTGGCAGAAGAAACTTTTAAGCAGCAAAGCGTTCAAGAGTTGACTTGGGTGTTGTCAAAACTATTCACTTTAAAAAGGGAAACAGAGTGTAAAAGTTTGGAAGATTTGCAGCCTGATTATGCCATAGGAAAGAAAAACCCATTTTCTGAAGAGGAATTCAAGCCAGCTGCAGAAATCTGCATAGGTAATGAGAAGCCAAATGTTAAATACCAAACCAATAGGCAAAATTTCTCTAGGGCATATTAGAGATCTTTGAGGAAGTGCCTCCCATCACAGGCCTAAAGGCTTAGGAGGAATAATGGTTTAATGGGTTGGGCCCAGGGTCCCCGTGCTGTGTGCAGCCAAGGGACTTGGTATCCTGCATCCTAGCTGCTCTAGCCATGAATAAAAGGGGCCAAGGTAAATCTCGGGCCATTGCTTCAGAGGGTGCAGGCCCCAGACCTTGGCAGCATCCAAGAGGTGTTGAGGCTGGGAGTGCACAGTAGTTAAGAATTGAGGTTTGGGAACTTCCACCTAGATTTTAGAGGATGTATGGAAATGCCTGGATGTCCAGGCAGAAGTTTGCTGCAGGGGCAGGGCACTCATGGAGAATCTCTGCTAGGGCAGTGCAAAAGGGAAATGTTGGGTGGAAGCCCCAACACAGGACACTACCTAGTGGAGCTGTGGGAAGAGGTACGTCATCCTCCAGACTCCAGAATGGTACATCCACCAACAGCTTGTGCTGTGCACCTGGAAAAGCTGCAAACAATGCCAGCCTGTGAGAGCAGCCAGGAGGAAGTCCTACTTTGGTGGACTGTTGTCGTACTACCCAAAATGTCCTACTATCCAAGTTGATTTATGTATTCAAACCCTGTTAAAATGTAATCCCTATTAAAATTCCAAAGGTATTTTTCACAGAAAAAAATATTCTAAAATTTGTATAGAACCTCCCAAAACTAGAATAGCCACAACAGTCTTGAGGAAGATGTACGAATTTGGAGGCATCACACTTCCTGATTCCAGATTATGTTATAAAGCTGTAGTAATCAAAAGATCATGATATTGGAATAAAAACAGACGCATATACCTATGGGCCAGAATAGAGAGCCCATAAATAAACCCACACATTTACAGCCAACTAATTTCCAACAATGGCACCAAGAATACACAATGGGGAAAGGATTGTGTCTTCAATAAACGGTGTTGAATAAACTGGCTATCTATGTGGAAAGGAATGAAATTTGATGCTTGTCTTACATGATATACACAAAATTTTACTCAAAATAATATTAAATGTAAGACCTAAACCATAAAACTCCTTGAAGGAAACTTTGGGAGAAAGTTTTCTGACATTGGCTTTAGCAATTATTTTCTGAATAAGACTCCGAAGTACAGGCAACAAAAGCAAAAATAGACAAGTGGGACTACATCAAACTAAAAAGTTCCTGACAAGAAAAGAAAACATTCAAGAACATGAAAAGGCAACCTATGAAATGGGAGAATATATTTGCAAGCCATTTAGCTAATAAAGTGTTAATATCCAAATATATAAAGAACTCATACAACTCAATATTAGAAAAAAATCACCCACTTACAAAAAGGGCAATGGCCTTGAATATACATTTTTTCCAAAGAAGTCATACAAATGTCTAAAAAAGCACAATATCACTAATATCAAAGAAATGCAAATAGAAAACCCCAATGAGATATACCTTAAACCTGTTAGGAAGGTTCTTACTAAAAATTCAAAGGTTAACAAGTGTTGGTGAGGCTGTGGAGTAAAGGGACCCTTCTACACTATTGGCAAGGATATAAATTTATACAGCCATTATGAAAAATAGTATAGAAGTTCTTAAAATATTAAAAAATAACACTATCATATATGATCTAACAATCTCACATCTGGGTGGATATTTGAAGGTAATGAAATCAAGAACTATAAAAGCACTGAGGGGATGGTACTAAACCATTCATGAAAACTTCACCCCAATTACCTCCCACCAGGCCTCACCTCCAACACTAGAAATTACAATTCAATATGAGATTTGGTGGGGACACAGATCCAAACCATATCAAAAATTAATTTTGATAAGGCAGATAAAATATGAGATTGGAAAGGCAAATGTTATTGACTGGGGTGAAGCATCCAAAATATAGAACTGAAAATCCTGGTAAGGACTCCAAGAGATTTTGCAAACTTACTACCAAGATGGTTCCAGAAGCATGGAAAAAACTGATGCCCACCTGCTAAGTGAGGTTGATGTACAAATTTTCTGCTGGTGAAGGAAGACAATAAAATATTCAGAAAAGTGAATAAATAATGTATAAACATATCATGACAATGTTCCAAAGGAAGACTCAGAACATACGTTTATCACTGTCATAAAAGAATGTGCTAATGAAAGGGCAGCAACATCATTAAGAAGTTCAGTGGTAGCTATCTTTTTATTTTGTTTTGCACTGCTCTTCATGCAAAAACAAAACAAAATAAAAACATCTAAAAACACTAGCTAGTTTTTTTTTGGCTTCTGGAGACACCATAATCTACACCTGAGAATGCTGTTTAGGCCCATATCACAGGCGATATGAAAGGCCGTCAACTCTGAGAAAGACCTAGAGCAGAAAAGTGCGCCTCAGCTATCTCATCACTGACACTCCACTTTTGTGGAGTCTATGGTATGCCCCAGGGGGAGTACCACACCCTGTGCTACTTTTCTTAAGTTTTTTTTATTTTTATTTTTTGAAACAGGACCTTGCTCTGTTATCCGGGCTAGAGTTCAGTGGTGCAATAATGGCTCACCACAGCCTTAACCTCATGGGCTGAAGTGATCCTCCTACCTCAGCCTCCTGAGTAGCTGAGACTACAGGCATATGCCACCAAGCCCAGCTATTCTTTTATTTGTTATTTTTGGTAGATGCAGGATTTTACCCTGTTGCTCACATTGGTCTCAAACTTCTGGGCTCAAGCAACCTTGCCTCAGCCTCCAAAAGTGTTGAGATTACAGACATGAGTCACCGAGCCTGGCCAGTTGTATTTTTATATATCAGTGGCTATCAGAAATTTAAATCTAAAAAAATTACTATTACAGTAGCATCAAGAAACCATACACACAAACAGGAAGAAGACATAAATCTCATACAATATTTAACAAACCTTTATACTCAAAACACAAAAAGATTATTAAGCTATATTTTGAAAACAAACAATATTAAATATTTAAATATTATTTATATTTAATTTTATGTTTATACAATATATTATTTAAATATTAAAAATTTAAATAATACAATTTACAGTTCTACAAAAAACACCAAAGCCTTAAACAGCCAAAATAAAATGAAAGGTCAGTACCTGAAAATTACACAACATTGATGAGAGAAATTAAAGAGGAGCAAAGTAAACATAAGAATGTATCTTACATTCATATACTAGAAAATCCAATGATATAAAGATGCTTATTTTAAATTCAACTATAGGCCACACCCAGAATAATAATATTTGCCAAAATCAACATACTGGTTCTAAGATACATATGAAAATACCCAGGGCCAAAAATAGCCAAAAAAAAAATCTTAAAAAAGAACCCTAAGCTTGATAATTTACTTAAACATACTGCTATATTGAAAGACTTGTCAAAAATCTAGAGTAATTGAAACAATGTGGGATTGGTGCAAAGATAAACCAATAGAACAATGAAACAGAATAGAGTTCCAGAAACAAACTTTTAGTCATCTAAATATAATAGAAGGGATGGGTTACATAGATAAGATAGACAATGATAAAATGAGGGTGCCAAGAGAATTAAGTAAGTAAAACCAGGAGTACAGGTGACATTAAATTCACACAGAATGGAAGATACATGGATGCTTCAGAGACAAACAAGGATTGCATGGGTTTCTTAGATGATGGCTTCTAATTTTTTTATTAAACTAAATGTGAGAAGGGGGTGGATCAGACAGCCTGGGTAAGTTTATACATCCATAAAATACAAAGCACAAATCCAATTGTCTGTAAGTAGCAGTTATATGTGTCATTAATGCTGTATGGTCATTCTTGTTTGAGCATATAACATATAGCCAGGTGGGAAGTCCATTCATTGTGTACAATTGGGCATCAAGGCTGACGGAGCTGCACCATCTGGAGTGCTGTTCATTCCTGTGCACAGAGAGAGATATCTGGATGGTCTCAAACCGCCAATAAAACCTGCTGGCCCAGAAAGAACACTTTATTCAGACTTTGCTGACAAGAATGGTTATCTAGTTCCACCCCAGAGTCAATCCTATTCTGGGCCAAGAGCAGCAGAAAACCAGAAATATTTTACTAATAATGATAATGACTACCACAAACAAGAAGCTTAGAATTTCAGAGTAACTGTTACAGAGAATGAAAGAACTAATGAGGAAAAAGTTATGTTGGAGCAGGCAACACCCACCACCTAATATGGATATATAGGGACACTTGTCTCCATAATTGGATTGTAGTTTTCATTACTGCGTAACAGCTTGGTGGAAAAATGAAAAAGCATTCATTTAGAATTATCTTGAGGAAGGATTGTAAATTAATGCAAATGACATTTTTCCCCTGGGCTACTGCAAAGGAAAGATTACAATGGAAGAAACTTTATCACATTCATTTAAAAGTATTACAAGTGTTATGTTTAGTAGGATATGCAAGATAATAAACACGGAGGTGGTTGACTGGAAGAAATAGAGGATTCTAGGGACAAGGAGGTCATTTGAGTATTTGAAAACTTCCCAAACTGACCATAACTCCTATGATAAATTATTGTCCACGTCCTGAGAAATGTGTGGCTAAGGTTGGAAGTTACCCAAGTCAGCTCACAATTTTAATGGGTTTTAATGTTAAGTCAAGTTCTTCAAACCTAGTCCTAAACAGGCCAGACCACTGTGTTTCCCCTTTGCTTCCCTATTATTGTAAACCAGATCTGGGACGTGTACCCTTTCTGTAGTTCAATTACAGATGGGGCTTCTGCTTCGGTCCTTTGCAATTACCGACTTACTCAACATTATTATTTTACCAATTGATCTTTTTTATACTGTAGATCTCAAGTTTTGATCCCTGACTGGTATCTTGAAACTCCCAGGAGATATCATTAGGTATCCTTCCAGGAGAGTTGAACCAGGCTGCTGATTTTCATATGCGTTTATTTGTCATGAAATTTTATTGGTTTCCAGTTTGCTTCCTGTGCTTGCCACCTAAATATTTTGTTTGTTACTTGAATACTCTGAGACTTTCCCCTATGACATCAAATCATGTCCCTGTTTCTGAATGGATTTATAAATTACACCTTAGATTGATATCTAGCTTGCTGTATTTGGTTTGCCATTTTCTATGACTAGCCTCTCAGGGTGTGCCTTTTCCTCCATTTCCTGTCAAACTCAATCTCAGTTCTTTGTTACACCAAACTGACTTCTTTTACCGAAGACTCAAATGCTTTTCACATAAAGTCTTTCAAAGCAAGACAGTCCTTCGATACATAAGCCAGTATGTTAGAAAAACCACATTTTATACCTACAAAATAAATTTCCAACAATGAATAAAAGATACACCCTTAATATAACTCAACAATTATAGGAGAGAAAAATACTATACAAGACTAATTGTCCAAAAGGAATTACTGTAGGATAAAACATTTATAAAATTGTATCATATTTTTTGCCAGAAATATTGCTTTTAATTTTCTTTAAAATAGTATTTTCAATATTCTTTCCAGACTAACTTCTCCAAAATTAACAATATGTCAAATATAAAATATGGCAGTTATTTTTGTTTGTTTTGCCCTTCATCATAGTGCTTTATCAACTCTAACTTCGTTTTCTACATTTTCTTAGATTTTTGTGTTTGCATGCAGTTGTGTGTATGTGTGTGTTTGTTTTAAAACAGTACTAACGCACTGCTAAGTAGAAGCTAGCGTGGTACGAAGTAGGCACTAAACATATTTTATTTACTATGATAATGAATTTGGAGATAACAAGAAAACGTATTCGATCACTTCTTTTATATGATTTGATGTTTTAAAAAGACTAATTCATAAAATATTTTAATACCGTATAAGATGACAGTGTTAAAAAACTGGATCGTCAATGCCATGTGTAAATAGTTTAAGTATCATTTGTTTAGTTCGTTCATTTTTTTTTCTTTGTTTTCTTTGAGACAGACTCTCACTCTGTTACCCAGGGTAGAGTGCAATGGTGCAAAGACAGCTCACTGCAGCCTCGACCTCCAGGACTCACGTGACCTCCCGCCTCAGCCTCTCAAAGTGCTGGGATTACAGGCATAAGGCACCACACCCAGCTCCATCATTTTTAAATACTGTGTTTCTTGGTTATATTTTAAATTTAGATAAAAGGCATTGTATATGTTGTCATAAACACAAAAACTATGCCAACGTGTTTTATATCAAATTATTTCAATTTCCAGTTCACAAAATGGAGTTTCAAGTTCAAGGAAGTAATTGGCAAGAACCATAGATAACTTCTAAGCTAGAGACAAATTAAGAAAAACACATTAAAAAAAAACCTTACTTATTAGAGTTCTCTAAATCATCACTGTTCTTCATCTAATCATATAGTATTAACTAAGATTCCTAAATAATCTGATGTGAAATGCTTATGATATTTATGTATTTAGTGTCAGCATCTGTAGTGCCATGTAGAAAAGCTCTGTCTTAATAATGTATTTAAAATCACTGAGGAAGTCCACATTCAGTACCTAGGGAAAAGGCTATTGTTCTAAGTTGAAGACAGTGGTGTGATTCCCGGGAATATTTAAGAATGTTCTACTTTTTGTTATTTAAAAATAACCTTGTTACTATTCTATTAAAATGCATTTCTGTTTTCCAAGGTAAAATCATTAATGTGGATTCATAATTAATAATGAAATGACTTCAAGATCTATTGTCAAGTTTTAAAAAGTATCAAGATACTGATGAATTTGATTGAATGAATGAAAATATTTACTGTTAGGAGAAACATAAAACACACATCTTTATGCATTATGGTTTTTAAAATTCATAGAAAAATAGGAGTGGAAAGTCATTTACCAAAATGTTATATATTACAATAATAATTCCTTAAGCTTACAAAAGTAGGTTGGGTGGAGGTAAGAGAGGTTTTTAAAATCTTATTATTTGTATTAGTATTATGAGAATGAATTGTGAGCAGGTAATAAAACATAACATTTAAAAATGCTTACAGTATTTTAATTCCTAGTTCTTTAGAAACATAAAATAAAATTTCAAAATTTTCCTAAAAATAACAAATTACATAAAAGTAACTTCATTGAAAATAGAAATGCTTAGTGAGGATTACATTTACCTCAGAATAAAATTTCTTACATAAAAATTTTTAATGAAAAAGACTATTTTCTAAATACTGTTACAAGGCAATCAATATCTCCAGGAGTCTCTGAGAGCCCACAGCTTTCTCAATTATTCTTCCATTGATCCACTTGAAAAACATTATTTTCTCTAATAATTCTATGTGAACATAACTATATTATTCCCTTTACCTGAATGGCCTCTTTAATCCTGCTTTTCTTTTTAGGATACATAATGAAAAATTGAACATTCAGGAAATACAATTCATGTTATAAGGCTTTGTAGATCAGTGCCTATGAGCTACAAAATCATAAATGTTACATATACATTTTTAAACAAAATATTTATCATTAAATAATTAACTTAGTTGAATAAATTAATAGTTAACTTAGTTTAATAAATAATTATTTATTAAAGTTAGTTAAAATAATAACCATTTATTTTATTAAAATATTAATGGTTATTTACTTTGTTTTCATTTTAATAAGTATTTAATATTTTATGAACAAATATTTTCTACTTTTTATTGCTTCCCAGTGTATGAACTTTTTCACTGAGAATTATTACACTTTTTACTTCCTTTAAGTATTAAAATAATTTTCCATTAATTACAAGTATATTTATTCCATGTACTTTACAGAATAAATATTTAGATAGGAAAATTTGTTAGAGCACTCCAAACTACAACTGCCTATAATACCTCAATATAAAACTATTTCACTGTGCTCTTTTTGTGTTACAATTGATTATTAAAATACTGTAAATAAAGGAAAACAATTAGTACATAACAATGTGGTTGGCAAAATGCTTGATATGGAAAACTTGAAGAAGTTGGTAAATTCTGTAAAATGTATTTTGAAAAAAAAGTTGAAAAAAATGTTGGAATATATTGAAAAATTTAACATTTGAACTTAGGAACAAACATTAAAAATAGAAGCCAAAATGTAAATTGCCTAATTTTTATTGCCCTAAAAACATAATTTTTCTAAAGAAATGAAAATAAATTTAAATAATCCTAATGCTTCTGGCACCTCTTCAAAATCTAAGATGTCCATTTTATTAAAGATAATGATGGTTAATTGTGATAATAATGACTAATATTTGGTGAGTACCTATCATGTGCCCGACACTCTTGTATTGATTCTGTCTTGAGTCAATGACTCTTAATTCTTACAACAAACTTGTGATGAAAATACTTTTTGGCATTATTCACAATAGCAAAGACTTGGAACCAACCCAAATGTCCAACAATGATAGACTGGATTAAGAAAATGTGGCACATATACACCATGGAATACTATGCAGCCATAAAAAATGATGAGTTCGTGTCCTTTGTAGGGACATGGATGAAATTGGAAATCATCATTCTCAGTAAACTATCACAAGAACAAAAAACCAAATACGGCATATTCTCACTCATAGGTGGGAACTGAACAATGAGATCACATGGACACAGGAAGGGGAATATCACACTCTGGGGACTGTGGTGGGGTGGGGGGAGGGGGGAAGGATAGCATTGGGAGATATACCTAATGCTAGATGACGAGTTAGTGGGTGCAGCACACCAGCATGGCACATGTATACATATGTAACTAACCTGCACAATGTGCACATGTACCCTAAAACTTAAAGTATAATAAAAATAAATAAATAAATAAATAAATAAAAAATAAAAAAATAAAACAAGAGAAAAAAAAAAAGAAAATACTTTTTGATGCAAGGCCATGTAAATATTCAAATACTTTTTGTTGTTTTAAGCATGAGAAAACCAAGGCACAGTATGGTTTCAGGCCTGTCTCCAGACCTTCTGGCTTAATGTTTCCAACTTGCCCCTTGGGATTTACGCTTCTCCATTCTCCACCCTACTCTGTGACTTGAGAAGTCCCTTGCCCTTGTTTTCTGATTGTTTTCAATAGAAGGCATGGCCAGGAGATAAAGACAGGAGGAGAATGGGATCAGGGTATTCATTCCTCCCCCTTTTTCTGCTATGGCACTACATACTGGCTGATTCAGTCATCTAGAAGCCAGTCACAACTCTAGTCAAACCAGTGTTTTAGCCAAGGTTCTCAAGAAAGCAGAACTTGCAGCAAAAATGTCTTCTGAGCTTAAGTAGAGATGTTTAATTCTGTTGAAATAGGACTGAATAAGACAAGGCAGGATTGAAAACTAACAACATGCATTAGCAAGCAGGACACAACTATAGCAAGAATGGCCAGTTGCTTCGTCTCCCTGGAAATCTTTAGAGAAGCTATACAGGAGAGGAGACGGAAAGGAAGTTTACCTGTTGTTCCCATCTGTCTTATGCCCAATAATCAATGTTTAATTCATACCAATCAACTTGCAAACTTCTAGATTGCATTACCTGCTCCCTTGGAAGCAATTGGAGACATCACATCTCACACCTTGCAATGAAGAACTTCAACTGAGTCTAAAAATCATGGACTCATTTTCAGTTCTTTTGTTAAAAGTAGATCATTGGTTCTCATTTCAAAGACTGTCTCACTGCTCTCTCTATATATATTATTTTTCTTTGAGACATAGTCTTGCTCTGTCACCTAGGCTGGAGCGCAATGGCATGATCTCAACTCACTGCAACCTCCACCTCCCAGGTTCAAGCGATTCTTCTGCCTCAGCCTCCTGAGTAGCTGGAATTACAGGTATGCGCCACTGCGCACAGCTAATTTTGTATTTTTAGTAGAGATGAGGTTTCACCATGTTAGCCAGTCTGGTCTTGAACTCCTGACCTCAAGTGATCCACCTGCATTGGCCTCCCAAAAAGCTGAGATTACAGGTGTGAGCCACCATGCCCGGCCTTCCATTGCTCTTTTCAGTGGTACCTTTGACTCAAAAATGCTTACCTTGCTGTCAAATAGTTCGCTATGTTGGCCTTGAAAAGTTTGTTTAAACTATACATAATGCTATGTTTGCATTATTTAAAGTTTAAAACTTCTGGAAAAGTTTAAACACTTTGACAAACAAATACATTTCATAGGATGACTTTTAGCATATAAATATTTGATAGCTATTTTTTTTTGTATGTCAACTTAGGAACCTAAAAGTATGCTATGCATGTAGCCACCTCCTCAATTAGTTTATAATATCATCCCTGTATACCAATATGTTTTAAATTGTGGCTGGTTGATGACTTTCATGATTCTCTTGGGGTACTGGTAAATGCAAATTCATGTAGGAAAAAAGGAAAACAACTACAGAACATTGGAGGTGAGAACCAATGATCTACATTTAACAAAAGAACTTCAAGTGATTCTGATACACAATAAACTGTTTAAAACCACAATAATAAGAAACGTTATGACATTTATTTACATGGGCATCGACTGATATAAGACTTTTAGAAAAATATGAATACTCCCTTAACTGTATATTTCAACATGATCTACAGTTGTTTGAAGACATGAACATTCTTCATATCTTCAGCATTAAAGTGAAAGCCCCAATTTTAAGATATTTTGAGAGGAATGCTCAGATTTTAATTATCAAGTTATTTTAGATCACAATGACTTCAAAAGTTGGCTTAACCCACACTCTTCTTTGTAAAAAAAAAAAAAAGAAAGCATTTATTGACAAAATCTCTTTCAATTATTGGTGTAATGAATAATTTTATGTGTTGACAGGACTGGGTTTAAGGATTCCTAGACAGCTGGAAAAACTATTTCTGAGTGTCTCTGTGAGGGTTTCTGGGGAAGAAATCAGCATTTGGATCAGTAAACTGAATAAAGAAGCTCCACCCTCACTTATGTAGATGGGCATCTTCCAATCCATTGAGGACTTAGAACAAAATGAAAGAGGAAGGGTGAATTTGCTTTCTCTTCTGCAACTGGGACATCCATCTTCTCTTGCCCTTGAAAATCAGAACTCCAAGTTCTTGGGCCTTCATATGTTAGGACTTGCATCAGCGGCCCCTCCACATTCTCAGACCTTCAACTTTGGACAGAGAGTTACACCATTGGCCCTTTGGATTCTCCCGCCTTTAGAGACAGAATAACACAGCATCAGCTTTCCTGGTGGCAAGGAGGTGCCATCATGAACCAAGATAGCGCCCTCTCTGGATATAAAAGCTGTGGGCTCCTTGTTCATGGACTTCCCAGCCTTCAGAACTGTGAGAAATAAATTTCTGTTGTTCATAAGCTACTCAGTCTTTGGTATTTTGTTATCGCAGCTAAATGGACTAAGACAATTAGAAAGTAAAATTTCCAAGCCTTCAGGTGTTAATTCTCTTACTGCATTCTAGTTAATCTTGGTCTTCAGTGCTATGGTAATGTGCATTGCTGTTATTGCATGAAATATAGATCTATTAATTTCTGAATATAAAAGGGAATTCAAGAATCTTGTGGCAATTATGTTGTTACATATTTAAAAATTGCCTCTCCATCCTGTCTTCCTCCAAGTAGATTTGTACCACTCTGCAATACTGAAAAATTCCAATTTTGTTTTACATTTTTAACTGACATTCTAAGTGTTTCGTTTTGTATTTTTTTTAAAAATGTCTCTCACTAAGGCTACTGTAAGTAGTTTGTCATTTGCTTTTTGTGTTTTAGATATCTTGTCAGTATTAGTCTAGGCTCTTGGACTGATTCTCACTTTGAGTTTCACCCTTGAGCCCTGTGGTGTGGTATCTAAATTTATGCCCAGTGCCTCTTTGTGATATCTACTGTGGAATTAGAGTAATCATCTTAAGAACTGAAAGGTCACTCTCTAAATAGAGTATTTCAGGCAGCAGTTGTCTTGAATTCCCACTACAGATGCTTCTTTACCAACTCTTTTAAGAGCAGGCTGTCAGCCAAACATGGCTTGTGTGTGATGAAACTTCATGGATATGTGTCAGACATTTGAAAATCTGGCATTCATTTAATATTTTTGGTATTGTGAGAAGTCTATCTTCACATGCCTCTGACATGTTTAATGAACCTGTCAAGTACCAGGCATTAATTTTTTATAACCTGTACAGAATTGACAGGTGCCAGGAGCTATAGTGACAAATATACAATCTACTATTTACACAAAATATTAATTGTCTCTATAGATAATCATGGAACCAATGTTTATTTTTACACAGTGCTTATAATCGAATGAGTATTTTAGGTACAACTGGAAGTAAAATAGGTAATATTCTGTAAATGTCAGTAAAAATGTTACCCTTAAGGAAAATTGTATGAGCTCTCTGTATCTATATAGCAGTGTATTTCTATTATGAAAAAAAAAACAAAACTACCAGTGGAATGAAAAGCAAAGCAAAACAGATCAAATAAGCAATAAGCAGAAACTTGGCTTCCTTATCATGTTAGGAACATTTATGTCTCAGACTTGTATTAGAAAGATGGGTTGATGAAATCCTGTTGATGAAATCTGGAATCCAGTATCTATTCAGTTTTTAACTTTGTAATTTCTTTTTAGATTAAAATTATCTTTTCCAGAGGTTGAATCAAGGCAGTAAACAAAATTCCATGTCCTTACTATACCTTACTATTAAGATTTTACAGTGGATGACTCATCTCCAATAACACTTCGGGGAAAATGAGGAGCCCCTAAGGCCATCTTATTGTGTTTTTGAAAAGTATATATTCAGTGAAAAGAAGCAAAGCCCCCAAATAAAAGAGTGACCAAGATGTCTTTGTGTGTTTTTTTTTTCGTGGTGGAGTTGGGTACATATTTTGGGTTGTGAAGCTTGTGCTGAAGTAGCAGAGCAGAAATAATCACATTCTTAGAATTTGTTCTTTTTCAAGCATCTGTGGAATAACCAATATCAATTATTATTCACTATTCAGTTCCATAAACCATGTATTTAATAAAAAACCTTCTATATTTTAGGAAGAAGAAACCAGTATGCTCTAGTTTTTACTGGTATTCTGAGCTAAGGATTTCCTAAATTTTTATATAACATTAAGAATAGTTTGTCTGCAGTATATATTATTGTATTGGCCATTCTTGGTTGATTTGCCCAGCTGACAAGTAATGTGTTCTTTCAAAATGCAGATTCATCTCTCTCTTTCTTTTTTTCTGTCTTTTCTGTTTTCTCTCTCTATCTCTCAAAGTAGGGGTACAGTGTTGGTTGTTTTGGCCTAGAATTTAATACAGGATCATGCATGAAATTTAATTGCCTTGCCCCTGCTTCTATTCATTCTGAAATAGTTCTTCAACTCTCCTGTGTTTTATACGATTTACTTATTTTTAAATTTTTGGAAATTTTTATTTAATTATAATTTTTAATATTTGTTTTGTTCTACTTTATCTGTTGTCCTTTGTCTACTCTTATCTTTCTTTAAAAAAACATTTTATCTTTTTCATCTATTTTTCTTACCATAGTTGATTGTGATTATTAAATTTTTATCCCTTTCACTTTTGTCTTTATATCCAAACTGATTTTATTGTGTTTTAGTTATTTTAGAGTTTCGTCACTTTATTTTATAATTCTCCCTGTTCTTCAATCATCTTATTCTGATTACTGCTGTTTTTTTCAAAAAGATTTCTTCTTTTTCTTTATTTTTTTTAGCTTGTTTTGAAATATTTGTTAGAGCTTTTTAGGCTTTTTTGTTCAAATGTCTTTCTAGCAATTCCTTGTTATTCATAGGTATTTTTTCTTAACTTTTTAACAATGATAATTGTTAATTATTGTCTTGGTCCCTTTAGGCTTTTCTGACAAAAGACCATAAAATGGATCCAACAGAAATTTATTTCTCACATTTCTGGAAGCTGAGTTTATGACCAAGGTACCAACAGATTCCCTGTCTGGTGAGAGCTTGCTTACTGATTCATAGCTGGCCATCTTTTCACTGTAACCTCACATGGTGGAAGGGACAAGACAACTCTCTGCATCCTCTTTTATAAGGGCACTAATCCCATTCACAAGATTTGTAAACCTAATCACCCTCATGTCCGAATAACCTTCCAAGGTCCCGCCTCTTCGTATTGTCACATTGGTGATTAGTTTTTAACTATGAATTCTGTGGGGACACAAACATTCAGGCCATAGCCGTTGATTTGAACTAATACTTTCTGTTATTTACATTTATAGTACATAATTTTCCCGTAGGAGGAGCAGGCCAGAAAATTATGTTGAGTTTCATGTTTCTAGAGCTCTCTCTTCTGTTACTATTGTGAAGTTATATAACATGGCAATTATACTCTTAGATCAGTCACCTCTTCTGTGGCTTCCCACACTTTTAGCTGCACTTCTTCTGTCTCCTGATTGTTCCATTCTTGTGTAATTTGTATCCTATTTCTATCTGTTTTAACTCAATGTAAGGCTGAAAAAATGATTTTGTCCAGAAGAAATATAGATTTTGTTAATTTTGTAGTTTCACAGGCTGCAAACAACTTCATCTCTCTGCAACCTTCTACACTTCATTTACACTCACGTTGTTGTTTGTAAAACCGCTTATGATTTAGTTGTCTCACCTTCAATGGGCCCAGCATCCTTTCTTGTCAATAGATTTGTCAACTCTAGGGTCCTTTGGTGTGTATTCCTTCCACAAACTTACTGCTATCACCTGTATCTGTAGTTATTGATGGTTTTTAACAATCACCCTTTCATATATAGGGAGTTGGTTGGGATACTTTGTCACCTAAACTTTTTAGAGATGTTGCCAATGAATTGTCAGTTTCGCTGTCATGGTCATGGTTTTTCAATTTAATTTTATGTGAGAATTTGGGGAGAGATGGAAAGACAATGGGAGGCCATGTGGCTCTTATCACCTTCTTCCCTAGATCTCCTATTCCATTTTAAACCAACTCCTAACTGGTTTTTACTCCTCCAAATCATTAAATGTGCCTTTGCCTGAATCTCCAATGATTTGTATGTGTTATTTACTATGTTTCAATATTAGGCCGCTTCTAATACTACCTATCTTCGCTATTTGACATAATCACCTTATCCTGTGAAAACATTCTTCTTTTGGCTCCCTAATTTTAATTGCTGGTATTGTTGTTTCTGCTACCTTGTAGACCACTCCTTCTCACTTTCATTTTCTTGTTCCGTCGTTTTCCTCATATCTTCAAGATGGGGAACACGATGGCGCCATGTATTATTCTCTCCTTTGCATTTGTGTATCCTTGTGATATCCTGAAATCTCTTAGCTTCAAACAATTATGTCTGTTGAAGATGTTGATTTTTACATCTCAATTCCTGATCGTTCCCACCTGAACTGAACTTGTATCTGACTATCTGCGTGACATATTTTTGGATGCTAATACATGTTTCAAAGCATATAAGTTCAAAACCGAACTCGTGATAGATCTTCCAAAACCAACTACACCACAGTCTTCACTTCTATTATGGGAAATCTACCCTTCCAGTCACTAATTCCAAAGACTTTTGACTCTTCTCCTTGACCCTAATATCCATCAATCTGCAAGTATGGTTTGTTCTAGCTATATGTACAAAAACCAATTGCTTTTTACATCTCCTCTGAGACCACCATTGTCTCTTGCCTCCTTCCTGATATAAACAGATTACATCATTGTTTGCCTAAAATTTTTTCTAAATATAATTCCCAGATGGGTCAAGTTTAGGCACAATTCAAGTCAATCTTCTGCTCATAAAACTTCAAATGATTTTATGTGTCACTAACTTCCTTGAAATGATTTATAAGGGTCCATATAAATTATGCCCTTCTTCCTCAACAATCTCAAAATCTAATACTGTCGAATTTGCTGGCTGTATTTCAGCTGTATTGGCCTCCTTGTTCATTCATGAACATAGTAAGAACACACAAAAATATCATCTGAATAAAGAAATATGTATGTAACACTTCTGAGTTATTACATGTCATACACCTTTTAAACACTTTTAATATGTACCTGTTATGCATATAGTTCATATTTTCCAAGGAATAGAGATTTATTTAATTCACTAAGGAGAAAACCACCAGGATAGTAAAAGTTATTCAAATAGAATTTTAAAAAGTATGAGCATTGAAGAAAGAATGTTGACATAAGATCACATGGTCAGATCCAAAGATATTTAGTATACTGCAAGGCAATAATAATCTTAAAATTATTTGAAGTTTATTTTTTAACTGAATAGCTTGTATCTCTAGTGAACACGTTTTAATACACCTTTACAGAGTAAATAGTTAACAAAGTACATCCTCTAGAGAATTTAATAATCCTGAAGTTCATCAGTAAGTCAAGGCTCCAGTCGGATACTTGAAATGTCACTCAACTACCCTTTTGCATTATTTTCAAGTTATTGAAATATTTCTTAACAATGAATACACTTTTAATGCACACTTTAAGCTTGTGGAAACTGAGGAATGGAAAGACTGGATCACTTGCCCAAGATCACTTATGAATAAATGTCAGAGCCAAGGTTTGAATGCAGAAATGTGATTCCAGAGACATTTCTCTTAATAACGATAGGATGCTAACATAATTTTGCAATAAGCCACCCTAATTTAAAAGTGAAGTTCAGATAAACTGAGGGAACAAAAAAAACCCTACAAAACACAGTGATTTAAAGAACAAAAAGTGTCCTTCTTTCCTATGTCACTGTTCAGGGCAAGGGATGTTCATTTTAAGGTCACCTATGTTGTTACCTCTCCGGTCACCTAGATGGGGAAAAGTCCACGGAGGAGTGTCTGTGTGGATATGAA
Organism: Homo sapiens; assembly: GCF_000001405.40. NCBI lineage: Eukaryota > Metazoa > Chordata > Mammalia > Primates > Hominidae > Homo > Homo sapiens. The sequence goes on from NC_000005.10 coordinate 26,724,774, forward strand.
ATTTTTATGCACCAGTCAAAACACATATCACTGGAACTATTTTTTTCAAACAAAAATTTGTGGTGTGACCTTGTCTAACTGCAGGAATCAGAGAACTGTCGTTTAGCTATAGGCATAGAGTAGGGAGTAGAGGTGAATATTGTTTAACAACTAGTAATTTAAACTACTTTTATACATATTGACTTGAAACTTGTTACTTAACTTAATCATATATTATTAACATCTCCCCATGTTCACAAATAAATATATTTACAATAATTTTAATCTTTTGATAGTTTTATTATTTTAAAAATCTCTATATTATTTCGTTATATTTCTACTGCTGGTCTTTTATATTTTTCTGAATTTACTATACTAAGAGTGCTGCAATAGATATCCCTACAGCTAAACCTTTGAATACATTCATAAAATCCTTTTGGAATAAAGTTTATAAATGTGAGATTGTGGGGCAATGCCCTGTACACATTTATATTTTACATTTTGCTGAAGTATGGTCTCACTATCAAAGCAAGAGTGCTCTTCTTTAAGTACGCCCTTATTGAAACTACACAGAATAATTTTTAAGATTTTATATTTGATCATTTGACTGGGGAAATATTATGTCTTCTTATTTTTATCTATACTTAATGCCATTGACATTAATTAATTCATTAATTTCCCCTAAGTAATCATTGTAATTTTTCTCTTGTGAATTGATGTTTTTTCACATTTTCCTTTGCTGGAAGGTCACCATTTTTAAGTGTTCTTTTATGTTTATACTTATAAAAAATAATATTAATTCTTTTTTTTTTTTTTTTTTTTTTTTTTGAGACGGAGTCTCGCTCTGTCGCCCAGGCCGGACTGCGGACTGCAGTGGCGCAATCTCGGCTCACTGCAAGCTCCGCTTCCCGGGTTCACGCCATTCTCCTGCCTCAGCCTCCCGAGTAGCTGGGACTACAGGCGCCCGCCACCGCGCCCGGCTAATTTTTTGTATTTTTAGTAGAGACGGGGTTTCACCTTGTTAGCCAGGATGGTCTCGATCTCCTGACCTCATGATCCACTCGCCTCGGCCTCCCAAAGTGCTGGGATTACAGGCGTGAGCCACCGCGCCCGGCCAAATTATTTATCTTAAAAACTGCAGTTGTTTTATCCCAATTTTTCAATTTTTAATGTATTTTTATAGGTAATTTAGTACTCTGCCAACTTAAGTGGCACAGGATACCAAAAAGACACCATATACAAATATATACATAAATATTTATTAGGGTAAATAAATTGTGTTAATATTATTTATGCTTTATTTACAAATATTAAAATTATTTTCATAACCATCAGTATATATTTCTCTAGTGGATTATCTTAGTAGTCTTAGCTCTTTATTCCTCTCTATATCCATGACCTTTGCCATATGGCTTTGCTGTATATGGCATATTTTATTTTTGAAAGTTGTCTTTCCACAATAACATGTTTCACCTTCCGTGCACTGATACAAAATGATTTTGCCACCTTTCATCAAGAGGTGAAATCTACTTCTTCTCCCATTGAATGAAGTCTGACCTAATAGCCATCTTGGAATCAATAGAATGTGGCAGATTATACACATCGTGACTTCCAGGGCTAGGACAGAAATGTGCATGCAACTTCTGACTGATTCTCACTGGATGTTTTCTTTGGAGCAAGAAATTCCTACGTAGAAATCTGATGCCTCTGGAAACATCGTGCAGAGCTGGTCATATCTAGGCATTCTGGTTAGTAGTGCTAGCTGAGAACAAACTTGCTGCCATCTTAGTGCAAATGTCTAACAGTTTCATCCAGCCCACATGGATCTTCAAGGCGAGGCAACTCACCAGCTGAGCTGCACTCAGTGCACCCAGTTAACACCAGGAAAAGTAGAAGAATCATCCAGCCAGTCTGACCTATAGTTCAGATATTCAGAATCCATGATGTATAATAAAATGTTGGTTGTTTTATGCCATTATTGGGACCAATTTGTTATGCGGTAGTGAAAACTAGAATATAACATCTTCTCAATTTGACTCCATTTGTCTTTTTTGATTAATAAGTTGTTAGCAGACATAACACAAGATGTTTAACAATTACTTACATATATATGCTTTTTTTTTTTTGTCCTTCTAAGGACATCACCATTAGAAGGATGTACCTGTGTTAGTCCACTGTTTTCAACTAGGTGGGGAGGCATACATATCACCAAACTGGTGCAACTAAGCTCAGCAGAAAAGCCTAACTTACAGTGCAGAACCAGTCAATGAACAGCTACATGCATCAGCCCATTAACCCACAGACCCTTGAGCAAGCCCAGCTAGAATCAGCAGACAGCAATCAGGTTTGCCTGAACTCTAGCCAATATGCAGATGTGTTTTGTTTTGATTTGTTTTGTATTCTAGTAATACCTGACTGATACATATTCCAATAAGATTTCTTACTAACCACAAGTTATTTGAGGTCAAAGACTTTGATATGTTATTTTATTGTATTCCACATGCTCCTTTGAACATAAGAAAACCCATTAAATTTGTTTAACTTAATTTACGGTGTCTTATATCACAGCGTATTCAATTTTAAACATCTATATTTTTCTCCATCTTTAAGACCAAGTAATTGCATATGTTTAACTATGCCCTTGGTTTTATTCTAACAATGGCAATACATGTTTACGAATATAGTTAAGTGGTATTTAGGGTGTACAGGCAGCTTAAGTAAATTATTCTAGATAATGTAGAGCAACATAAGTCAGCAAAACTGCAATCCAATCAGTGTAGTATGTAAAGAAATGTTAAGATTCACTAAAATTTTCAAAAAAGATTGTCATGATAAATAGAATCTAAATGCTTACAGCTTGTGTGTAATATAAATATCTCTTTTAGAGGGAGAGATAGAAGTTAGAGCTTAAAGATTCTGGTTTAATCTTCATTATACAAAAAAATAGAGGCAATTTAGGCAAGTTGTATAGTATATCTTTATCTTCATTTTCTTATTAGCTTTTAATAATACCTTCCCTTCTGCATGTAGATTTCTTTGTGTATATGTCTAAGTGTGATGAAGATAAGTGAGTAAAGACCGTAGTAAAGCACAAGGTAAGGTGGACATTGTTAAGGAAAGTGATAAGGTGGTTAGAAACTGTTTTTTCTCAACCACAAAGCACTTGCATATCATTTGTGTTTCAACATTGCAGTTTTGTAAACATATTGATGAACATAGACTTCCCAAATCTGTTACTCTATACTGACCCCGGAGAAATTGAGGAAAAAATTTGACTCAAAAAAAGAGCTATTAACATTGCCTTTACCCATATACTATGTGAGGTAGGCATCCCCCACAACCTCCATTTGTTTTGGGTCCTCTGCATGACAGAGCACTCTTAAAAGCTGGCTGAGTGGAGCTTTATTTCCTTATTCAACAGATGTATCTTGTGAAGACATCCAAAGTTAGTGGTAGAGCATCGTCAGACTTGATGAAATGAACGTATTCTTCCACTAAGTCTAGGTATGTTCTTGTGAACCCAATTCTTCAAAGTTTTAAATTTTCAACAGAATTGATAAAGCTATCTAGCATCAGCTACAAACGTAGTAGCACAAATCAACATATTTATATTGCAATCTAGAAGCAAGTTTTCTTACTAGAGCAGAAACCATGCGATAATATAAATATTTACTGTGGAAGAGATTAGACTAGAAATTAATGTACGTGATTAAAAATTTAAAAAGCAGAGGCTTAGTGGTTTCTACTTTACCATGATTCTTTCAGTGTCTAAAATCCATTTCGGAGAATTAAAACTCAATTCGAAGTCATTCCCTGCTGGTTATTCATAGGAGCATAGTTTTTTTTTTTGTTTTTGTTTTTGTTTTTTTTCAAATACACCAGTAAATGTACCCCAGTTTACAAAAAAAAAAAGGAAGGCCTTGTCTTCTCCCAAGGAGAATAATACTTAATGTTCTCCAGTAATTTAGAATATTTTAGAAATATGAGAAACATTAAATAATAAAATGTCTTCACTCTGGATTTTTCTTAATTTCTTTAGCTCTCCTTTAGCTATCTCTTGTAAATTAAAATTTTATATTTTCATTGTGACTAAAATTTATATATTACTGGATCTTACTGTTAAATTTAATTTGGGTTCTATTAAAACACACAACCCACTCTCTTTGGTATATGTATTATACACTATAAGAACGACTATCTTTGCTAAGTTAATTTCCTTGCAATTCTTGATTTCCAATCTTCTGCTCTTATTTCTGCATTGATAAATCACTATCCTGACTGTAACCCTCTTTCTTGTAGGTTTTCTAACATTGATATTGTAAGAAAACATTCCATAGTTTGCTATTCTAGAATTTATTTTATTAGTAACTTTGGCTTCCCCAGAGAATCTGCCTTAACTGAAAATGGGGTGCAGTAGTAATTTCCCCAGTCTTTTTCCTCAGATTATTAGTATCCAATCAATCTTTTTTAAAAAAGAAATTTTATTTTTTTATTTTAGATTCAGGGGTACATGTGCAGGATTGTTACATTGGTATACTGCATAATGCTTAGGTTTGGAGTACAATTGATCCTGTCATCCAGGTAGTGAGCATATTATCCAATAGATAATATGCCACTTCGCCCCTCCTCCCTTCTCTGGTAGTATCTGGTATCTATTGTACCATCTTTAGGTTCGTATGTATACAATGCTTAGCTTCCACTTATAAGTGAAAACATGTGGTATTTGGTTTTCTATTCTTGCATTAATTTGCTTAGTATAATGGCCTCCAGCTGCATCTATGTTGCTGCAAGGGACATGATTTTGTCGTTTTTGATGGCTGCATAGTATTCCATGGTGCATATGTGCAACATTTTCATTGTTTAGCCCACCAAGGATGGACACCTTAGTTGATTCCATGTCTTTGGTATTGTGAATAGAGCTGTGATAAACATAAGACTGCATGTTCTTCTGCAGAATGATTTGTTTTCTTTTGGATATATACCCAGTAATAAGATTGCTGGATCAAATGGTAGTTCTGTTTTAAGTTCTTTGAGAAATCACCAAACATCTTTCCACAGTGGCTGTACTAATTTGCATTCCCACCACAGTGTATAACCATTCTCTTTTCTCTTCAGTCTCATTAGCATCAGTTGTTTTTTGACTTTTTAATAATTTCCATCTTACTGGTGTGAGATGGTATCTCATTGCAGTTTTGATTTGCATTTCTCTAATGATTAGTGATGAGCATTTTTTCATGTTTGTTGGCTGCTTCTATGTCTTTTCTTTAAAAATTGATTTAAAGGAATTTTAGTTTTTGTTTTTGTTTTGTTTTTCTATATTTCTTCTCAAAAAAAAAAGGAATACATGTGCAGAAGGTGCAGGTTTGTTACACAGGTATACGTGCACCATGGGCTGCTGCATCTATTGACCTGTCCTCTAAGTTCTCTCCCCTAGCCCCCTACCCCCCAACAGGCCCTGGTGTGTGTTGTCCCCCTCCATGTGCCCACGTGTTTTCATTTTCCAACACCCACTTATGAGTGAGAACATGCGGTGTTTGGTTTTCTGTTCCTGTGTTAGTTTGCTGAGGATGATGTTTTCCAGCTTCACTGGGAAGTGTTAGTTCATGTTTGTATTAGTCAGGGTTCCCTAGAGGGACAGAACTAATGGAATATATATGTATCCATATATATATATACCATTGGGTACATATAGCCCATGAATCGGTGTGTGTGTGTGTGTGTGTGTGTGTGTGTGTGTAGTGTATATATATATGTGTGTGTGTGTGTGTGTGTGTATGTATATATATATATATAAAATGTGTGTGTGTATATATATAAAGTGTGTATATATATATATAGGGGAGTTTGTTAAATATTATAAAGGGGGTGTGTGTATATACATATACATATATATATACATATATATACATATATGTGTGTGTGTGTGTGTATATATATATATATATATACACATACACATGTATGTATTAATTTACATGATCATAAGGTCCCACAATAGGCTGTCTGAAACCTAAGGAGCAAGGAAAGTCAGTCCAGGTCCCAAAACTGAAGAACTTGGAGTCCAATGTTCAAGGGCAGGAAGCATCCAGCATGGGAGAAAGATGTAGGCTGGGAGACTAGGCCAGTCTCTCCTTTTTGGGTTTTTCTGCCTGCTTTGTATTTGCTGGCAGATGATTAGATTGTGCCCTCCAGATTAAGAGTGGATCTGCCTTTCCCAGCCCACTGACTCAAATGTTAGTCTCTTTTGGCAACACCCTCACAGAGACACCTAGGGTCAATACTTTGTATCCTTTAATCCAGTCAAGTTGACAGTCAGTATTAACCATCACAATGTTCTTTGCCCATTTTTAATGGGGTAATTTGTTTTTTGCTTGCTGTTTTGTTTAAGTTTCTCATAGATTCTGAATATTAGACCTTTGTCAGAGACATAGTCTGCAATTTTTTTTTCCTTTTGTAGATTGTTTACATTGTTGATACTTCCCTTTTCTGTGCGGATGTTCTTTAATTTAGTTAGGTCCAACTTATCCATTTGTATTTTTGTTACAATTGCTTTTGAGGCTTTAGACATTTATTTTTGGGAAGGCCAATGTCAAGTAGGGTATTTACTAAGTTTTCTTCTAGGAATTTTATAGTTTGAGAACTTCCATCTAAATCTTTAATCTATCTTCAGTTAATTTGTGTACATGCTGAAAAGTAATGGTCCAGTTTCATTCTTCCATATATGGTTAGCCAGCTGTTCCAGCACTATTTATTGACTAGAGAGTCTTTTTCCCATTCTTTGTCTTTGTCAATTTTGTTGAAGATCAGGTGGTCGTAGGTGTGTGGCTTTATTTCTGGTTCTCTATTTTTTTATTAATCCATTAGTCTGTTTTTGTACCAGTACCATCCTGTTTGGGTTACTGTAGCCTTATAATATAGTTTGAAGTTGAGTAACGTGCTGCCTCTGGCTTATTTCATTTTGTTTAGGATTGCTTTGCCTATTCAGGCTCTTTCTTGTTTCTACATGAATTTTGGAATAGCTTTTTTTCTAATTCTGTGAATAATGATGGTGGTGGTTTGATAGAACTGGTATTGAACCTAAATTGCTGTGGGCATTATGGCCATTTTTATGATATTGATTCTTCCAACCCATGAGCATGGGATGTTTTTCCACTTATTTGTGTCATCTCTGATTTCTTTCAGAAGTGTTTTGTAGTCCTCCTTGCAGAGATCTTTTGTGTCCTTGGTTAGCTGTATTCCTAGGAATTTCATTTTCTTTGTGCCTATTTTAAATGAGATTGTGTTCTTAATTTGACTCTGAGCCTAGATGTTGTCAGCGTATAGAAATGTTACTGATTTTGTATATTGATTTTCTAACCCGAAACCTTATTAAGATCATTTATCAGTTCTAGTAGCCTTTGGCAGAGTTTTTAGGGTTTTCTAGATATAATATCATGTCTTTAGTGAAGAGTGAAAATTTGCCATCTTTTGCTATTTAAATTCAAATTATTTTCTCAACTGAATACATTTTTTTTTCTGCCTCTTGCCTGATTGCTCTGACTAGGACTTCCAGTACTATGTTGAATAGGAGTGGTGAGAGTGGGCATCCTTGTATTGTTCCCTTTCTTAAGGGGAATGGTGCCAGCTTTTGCCTGTTCAGTATGATGTTGGCTGTGTGTTTGTCATAGATAGCTCTTATTATTTTGATGTATGTTCCTTCAATGCCTTGTGTGTTGAGGGTTTTTAATCACAAAAAGATAACTGGATTTTAACAAAAGATCTTTCTGTGTCTGCTAAGATGATCATATGGTTTTTGTTTTTAATTACCTTTATACGGGGGACTCACATTTATTGATTTGCATATGTTGAACCAACCTTATATCCTAGGTATAAAGCCTACTTTGTTGTGGTGAATTAAATTTTTAATGTGCTGCTGGATTCTGTTTGCTAATTTTTTTTGCAGATTTTTGTGTGTATGTTCATCAGAGATATTGGCCTGATACATGAGTGTGTGTTTTGTTTCCATTGTGTTTATGCCAGATTTTAGTGTCAGGCTGGTGATGGCTTCCTAGAATGAATTAGAGAGAAGCTTCTCCTCTTAGATTTTTTGGAATCCTTTTAAGAGAATTGGAACCAGGTCTTTGTAGATGCATTCTGAACACCTCTATGCACACAACTTAGAAAATCTAGAGGAAATGGATCAATTTTTGGAAATGCAACCTCTCAAGATTGAACCAGGAAGAACGTGAAAACTTGTATAGAGCAATAGCAAGTTCTGAAACTGAATCAGTCATGAAAAAACCTACCAACTTAAAAAAAAATTCCCTGGTCCAGATGGCTTCCTAGCCAAATTCTACCAATAAATCTTCATCAATATATTCTTCCACTTATGCTGTTTTTGTTTTTGTTTTTGTTTTTTTACTATTTCCTAGATTATTCTACATATTCATCCATTTTGGGGAGCCAATGCTTTGGAGTTATTTTTGCTAGTGGTAAAACAATTCATTAATAAACACAAAGCAGAACAAACACACAACTTTCCTCAAGTCTTCCAGATGTTCAGTCAGTGTTAATATCTAGATTTCTATTTCATTTCCATCTGATATTTCTCACATCAGAAAAGGAAGAGAAGAAAGAGAAACAGAAAACCCCAAGAAAGTAAAATGAATGAAAAGCTTATGTTCTTTATTAGGACAACGTTGTGAACTGAATGTTTGTATACCTCCAAAATTTTTATGTTGAAATCCTAATTCTCAAAGTGATGGTATTGGGAGGTAGAGCCTTTGGGAAGAATCAGGTACATCTCTCATAAATGGAATTACTTGCCTCATAACAACAGACACAAGCGTTTGCCTTCTCTGTATCTCAGATCTCCACCAGGTGAGGTTACAAAAAGGAAGATAGCCTTCTGCAAGCCAGGAAGCAGGTCCTCCACAGACAATGGATCTGCTGCTACTATGATCTTGGACTTCCCAGTCTCCAGAGCTGTGAGAAATTAATGTTTGCTGTTATAAGCCCCCACCCCCCAGTCTATGATAATTTGTTACAGTAGCCTGAATTGATTAAGACAGGCAGTTACCTACTTCCTTTTAATGTTTCACTGCTTAATGGATATTGACCACTCACTGTGTGTCAGTCTTGATTCTTTTTTATTGCTATCTTTAATTCAATAGCATGCCTTTTTGGAATTATCATGATTTCCTCCCTAATCTTTAACCTATGACATACCACAACAGTAAGAGTTGATCTAAAAATAGTATGCTATGGCTTCAAATACTTGATTTTTGTCTTTAATGAGCAATACTAAACCCAAGTATTTCAACTCACACTATTAAACTGATTACATAGTTACCTGATTTGCAATAATGAGCCATTATTGAAAGGAAAATATTTTACCGTTCTGTTGCTAATTGCTTTTGTGTTCTAGATTTGATGTAATGACAAATCCACTTAATATTCTTCCATTTTGTGACCATTGTGCCTTTTATAATGAAAGATTTGTTTTAAATGCAGAGGTCAGCCTCTCTTTCTTTTCCTGTTTCCCATGTAGAAATTGGGTTTCTGACTTGTTAGCTTTAAAGGGGGTAAACAATTGTACACAGAATGGTGGAATATGTCATTTACTGACCTTGAAGTGTAGTTAAAGGACAAAAGCTATTTTTCCAGCAAATATGTAGAATGATGAATGATTGAATTTTACTGATGCCTTTACCTGTTATTGGAAGACAAACACATATATTATCCCATTTTTACTCTACTTTCCCTTCACTAAATTGTAGTAGAATAATTACAAAAAGCCATAAGTATTCTATTCACAATTATAGGCCTTTAAAGAGTAAGAAGGAATATTTGAAGAAGAAGAAAACAATTTGACTATTTTTAACATATGCTTTGAGTTAATCTTCACTATCTTTCATTGAGAATTCTCCAATTGTGGTAACATCTGCATCTGGATAATTTATTATTTTTCCACAAGTCAACAATATTCAAAACAGAAACATTTTGCATATTGAATATTCAACTAAACAAAGTATCATTTTGTGCTTTCTTGTCTCTCTTCACAAAATAAAATCATTTTGTTTCCTTAAAATCCAACAATTGTAATTGCAAACCAGTTTATGACTATCTTCCTCAAAACTGTGAGTATATTAATTGTTGAGCATATAAGCAACTTTTCATAAAGTGATTTCATTGTTTAAGATATAATGAGGAGAAATGGCATTTCAACAGATAATAAACTTTATTTTTCCCCCACAACAAAAATAATGCTTTCTGATTTTCATTATAGATATGAAATTATCTGTACAAAAGAAGTGGGGATCCTTTCTTTACATGCATACTTCATCATTTTAGTTCAACAAACTTCTGAGTTTACTTTTGAGACTATTAATATTCACATAGCGTATAGATCTTAAACTTTATAATGTACTTTCATTATACACATTCAAAAATTGTTCAGTTACTTAAGACCAGCTTGTATTAAGTGTTTTAAGCTATATCAATAAGCACACTGAGTGTTATAAATTACCAACTTCTAGCATATATAAATATGCCATGTTAATAGTTCATAGCATTTCTCTAATATTATTTTAGTTATGAAGAAAAGAAAACTTGAGACCCAGGAACACAATTAATAAATGTGAAAGTAGGACTTGAATACAGACTAGCTGAAAAAACAATCTAATCTTGTTTTCCTTTTCTCTACTAATAAGGGTTACAAAATGAACTGGTATTGTAGAGTGGCAGGTGTAACAACTATAATAATGAAACTCATTTATAGATTCCTGTTGTGTGTCAGACACCTTAACACAGCAACTTGCATATCAGTATTATAACTTTATAAGTGAAAAAAAAAATCAGAACAGAAGTTAAGTGAAACTGCCCAAAGCGTGTTTTAAAAATAAAAGAACATTGAGTCTTACTTTCCACAGAGTTCAAATTAATTCTCCATACAGTAAATTCAATTACATAGAATGCTATAAGGGGTATGAGAAATCTTGGTTAATTACTATATTTCCTAGAGAATATACGGATTAGCCATTTGAACAGTCTTGGAGCATAATAAAATTAGTTCAGTGCTAAACTCTGTTAAACGTATTATTTCTTCAAAGAACCAGAAAATATACTGGAATCTTAGAGTTCCTTGGAGTTATCATTATGAACAAGAATTATCACTATTTAGCACGTAGAGGTTTGAGAAGGCTAAGATAATTGAGGGAAGTAGAATTCCAAATGAACTTTTACTGACTGTAGTTAGGTGTTAATCACTAGGATTCTAGGGTACTATTTAACATATTTCTTTTGCAGTGCGTTAAAGAAGGCCTCAATGCCCCACTAAAAGCAGTTTAGTTTTCTAAGTGTAAAAATTACCACCAAGATAAACTTGGCAATGGAAAAGAATTCAGTAGCCATTATTATTATATCCACTCCTATTGGTTAGCATAAACTATGTACCAATATTATTTCCTATTTAATAATAAACTCTCTTGTAAATTTACACACCAAAATAATATACGTCCATTACATCTCACACTATTGCAGCCTATTACACTTACAAGATATGTAGATCTATGCATACACACACACATATAATTTCTAGATATGAAAATACAAACATAGATATCAATATTGACATATTTTCTGTGTGAAAATAATTGTTATTTAGTAAGTCAAAATTCCAAGTAACACATTGTATATAATAAATTGAAATTAAAAGCCAGTTTGTTTCATCTGTTCCATACAAACATATACTTAAATCATCATTATACTAAATCTATCATTTTATTATATATATGGCAATCATTTTTCCATGTGCTAGTTAAAAGCATCATTTTATATAATATTTTTTAAAACAAATTTGACCATAGATAAAAGAATGATAATAACAACTGATATTATTTTCTACATGTGCTTTATTTGCATTAAAATAATTTAAATTTTATAATTTTACTTTCAGGTAGGCACAATAACTTCCAACACATTTTTCTAGTGTTGGAAACTGAGATACCAAGAGTTTCAGTAACTCTACTATGGATAGATCTTTGAAATGAGTAGAGGGAAAAAAATGGAAGCAGAAACAGTCATATTAATGGTAATAGACACATCCAGTACTCCCAAAGCATTCTTCATTCTTTGGTATCATGGGTGCTAAAGCTGTTTGGAACAACAAAAAAAAGCAACACACACATGCACACACACACACACACACAGTCGTATTTATGGAAGCTCATTTCATCTCTAGGACAGCAAAACTTCCTCTGGAGACTGGGAACTTGAGCCTTCAGATTCCTGAACCACTTTCTACCTTGATGTTCATTTGAAAAGGGAAAAATTGCCATTATCAGAGAGCTGAAGGGGAGAAAAATATACTGGAATTGCACAGATAAACACTGTGAGGTATGACCTGGACACATTAAGCATTCGTAATTTTCCCTTCTCCATTACTAGATACAGTGCTTACATTTCTCATTATTTTTATCTCCCTCCTTTTTTTTTCCTGTATTGGATAAACATCACAAATACAATTATCCCTAGTGTCAATTCTACTCTTCAGTATGCTAAAAGCTATTTAAACCTTGCTTTTGCATTTACAGTTTATTTTAAGTCATTTTCTATCTTACTCATCTCCCTCTACACTTGATCTTTTAAAAAATAGCTTAGCTATTTGTCTCCTTTGATTCTTAGCTCCTGTTTTATAGATAAATCATCTACTCTCTTGATAACACTAAAAATAATGCCTAATGTTTATTTAGAAAGTATTATTTACCAGCCATTATGCTGAGAAAGGCTGAATCTTATCTGCACATCAGCCCTATAAGGTATCATGACATGCCATATTTCACAGATAGGACCAAGAGATTTAGTAAATTATCTAAGGTTATGCTGCTAAGTTATAGAGTCAATTCAAACTAGGCCCTATGAGTAGAATCCATGATTTTAACCACTATGGACAAATGTCTCATGATTTCCTTAAAATATATTGCCTCTTGTAATAATTCATTTCCAAATGCCTGCAGCTCTGTGATGAATTTATTTTTATCATTTTGTTTGCCCAATTTTGTTGATATTGTTTTCTGTTTATTTTTATCTGGAGAAAAATACATTTTATCAAACTTTCAGTTTCTCATTACTGATGATTCATCTCTATTTGTTCTTCTTAAATTCTCTATGTCTCTGACTCAATGTTTTGATAAACAGTGATGGAATGTTTTCTTGCCTTATTGATTAGTTTACCTAAACACTGCATGAGTACACTTTCTATTGTGTACTGTACCTTGAAATATTTCTGTGTCAGTCTGCACCTATTAATCCATTGTTTAGCATGTGTTTTCTGCAAAAAGGACCATAGCAACTATGTGCATCATATATGAAAATAAAACTAATTTATATGTTTGGGTGAATATATTAATATCTTAAGACACCAAATAACCACGAATGTTTATTAAAAAAATTCTAACTTCAATATAAAATGGTTCCAACTTTAATTTGTGCCCCATTATATTCTGCACATATTTCTACATATCATTATTAAATTAATTATGTCACCATTATATTTCTTGAAAATTTTTTTAATATCTGAAGAGATTCAGAATCATTTATATAACAATATATTTAAATGTCAATAAGTATCTTTGAAGTTAATGCCAGTATTTATATATCTTTTTTAGTTTAATATATGAAATAAATTTGACTTATTACTCTCCATTACTTTGTTACTCAGTGACACTTGTATTCTTGTTTTGTAGAAAAGACTTTACTCTTCAATTTAAAAAAGAAAGTAAATACATTTTATGTCGTAAAATGCATTTGTAAAGATTTTTAAAGTATGTTTAAAACTATTTAAAAAATAAAAGTATATTGAAAGTGTGTAGTTAACAATAAACTTGTACACAAGAAACATTATTTCACTTTAAATAATTTTATCTTCCTATGGAATAAGTGGACTTATTTTTAGAAGTATATTTACTGATGGCATTTCTTTTATAAGCATGAACCAAATATGGTGTGCCAAAAGAAAATGTAAAATTCATACTTAATTATCTCTATGAGACAACTAGATATGAATACAAACTTCGTTATTTCTACAACAGTCACTGAAGATGTTCACTGCACCTGGGGCTGTTTAGATGCACGGAACCCAGGGCAGAGAGAGCAAATATTCTCATGCTAAATAACACCTAGATTTAGGAATATATTTGTTACATATTTATCAACGCCTTGGTAAGTATCCTTTAATGGTGACTATTCTAGAATTCACATTTCCAGATAAAGCCTGTTACTTTTCAAGTATGCAGTACCTTTATCTTGGATAAGTCAAATAAATTTTTATATATATAATATATATAAATCAAATGTTAAATATATATTATTTAAACATATATTATATGTTTTAAACTTCTTTGTGATTTTAATTTCCTAAGATCAAATTATTCAAACAATTTAAGTATGAGACTACTTAAGATTTTAATAACTATGATCCTGGAAAACTCACAATATCATCTTGATATTCTTAATTTGGGCGAAATAATATTGAATGTCCATTATTTTTCTTTTTTTAATTTTAATTTTAATTTTTTTATTATACTATAAGTTTTAGGGTACATGTGCACAACGTGCAGGTTAATTACATAGGTATACATGTAATAAATAAACAATCATGTGAATTTGTTCCAAACTGCATATTTTTAAGTGAATATGTAACTTAAATTTGAGATGAAATTATTTTTGATACAGAATATGGTAATTTTACAAATAAAAGTGAATAAAATAGTTAAACTAGTTTATACTGCCCAGTAATATCAACTTGTTTTTTTAAACAACAATCATTAATTTTTTAAAAAATCTATTCAGATATGACAATAATTTTTTTCTTTCATAAAATCTTAAATATTCACAACATTGTGAGTTTGGGAAAAGAAAAACAAAGAGAAAAAAAATGAAGAAAAGTGATCAAAAGACAAATTCAAGCACAGAATAAACACAGTCTATTAATAAGCCTGCCTAGACCTGTGGCTGTTGCTAGAGTGCCAGGCCCTCAGCCTCATAATCAGCAGTTCAAAATCTCCTCCAGTTTCAACTTGCCCAAGGGGGGATTTTGGAGACCTCAAAGAAGACCTGGTGAGAATACTTGGAATACACAGTCTTGAACCTATCGTAGGAATGAAAAGTCAGTAGGCTGTTTAGGTGCCTGACCAAGTGGTGAAGCTCAGAGGTCTTGGAGCTACTGTAATATATAAGGGTGGGAGCTCAGTGTCTGAGCTTCTTCATGTAGTGGGCCTGGAGGAAGGAGCCAGCAGCTAGCTTGGAAGCTCTCTCCAGATGTAGTATATTCCTGCATAGTCATCTCACATATAAAGCAGGATAAGGTCAATGTCTTCATGTTGGCATGGATACACCTAGCATATCTGAGCAAAAAATGGTAGGCAATGGGAAAGTTGATGTCAAATTTGAGGATTTGCAGGATGTTGATTTCCATGGCAAGCATCTCATGTCACTGATAAATACCACCACAGAGGTACAGGAGGTCATCCACAAAAGATGGGCAGGGTTCTTCAAATTTTGCTGCCATCAAAAAGGCAGTGGGACCAAGGAGTTGTAACCCATCCTTCTTGCACACTACCTCCATGAAGTAGTGATACACTGGCTTCAGTACCAAGGACAAGGTCTCCTGGGTCATCTCAAAAGAAATCTGCATCTTCCCCAACCAGTCCACAAGAATGACCCTCATGACACTGTTGATGTCAGTCTGCCTGTTTATGTGTTTTTGTAAGTATAAACTTTTCCTCTCTCAAATTCATGTAACTGGAGATTTCCTTGGTATATATTGAGTTGAAAAATGGATCACTAAGGTCCTTGTCAATATCTTCCAGTGGAGTCATCTCCTTCAATATTCTCTTGACCTTTAGTGAGTAAGGTTTATTGGAAGCACATTCGCATGCACTGAACGTGGTGGTGGTACTGGACTTTCCCATGCTGGACATAGTGGCAGTGCTGTACTTGCTTGTTCTTGATTCAGGGGCAGTGCTAGACACATATGGTTGATCCCAACTTGGGGGATCAAGAATGTTTTGAGAAAGGTGTCTTCGTTGCAGGTAGGAATCTTCTTCTTTTTTTTTTTTTTTTTTTTTTGAGATGGAGTCCCACTCTGTTGCCCAGGCTGGAGTGCAGTGGTGCTATCTCGGCTAACTGCGGGCTCTGCCCCCCGGGTTCACGCCATTCTCCTGCCTCAGCCTCCTGATTAGCTGGGACTACAGGTGCCCGCCACCAAGCCTGGCTAATTTTTTGTATTTTTAGTAGATACGGGGTTTCACCGTGTTAGCCAGGATGGTCTCAATCTCCTGACCTCGTGATCCACCTGCCTCGGCCTCCCAAAGTGCTGGGCCTTGCAGGTAGGACTCTTCTGTAGGCCAAAGGCTCTTTGAAGGACAACTCCTTCTTAGTGGTGCATTTCTTTTTCTTTTCTTCTTTTCTTTTTTTTAGATGAAGCCTTGCTTTTGTAGTACAGGCTGAAGTGCAGTGGCACGATCTTGGCTCACTGCAGCCAAGGTTCAAGCAATTCTTAGGTTCAAGCAATTCTCCCGCCTCAGCCTCCCAAGCAGCTGGGATTATAGGCGCCCGCCACCACGCCCAGCTAATTTTTGTATTTTTAGTAGAGATGGAGTTTCACCATTTTGGCCAGGCTGGTCTCAAACTCCTGACCTCAGGTGATCCACCTGCCTCAGCCTCCCAAAGTGCTGGGATTACAGGCATGAGCCACCGCCCCTGGCCTCAGTGGTGCGTTTCTTATTCAAAGCTATTATCACATTGAAAAGGAATTCCTCATTGAGGGTAGGCTTCTCCTACAAGACTGATGGCTCTTGTTTAGTATGCATTATTACAATCACAAGTTAAAAATTAGAATTGTTTTAAACAACCTCATTAAAAAGTGGGCAAAGGACATGAACAGATGCTTTTCATAGAAGACATATGTGTGGCCAACAAGCATATGAAGAAAAGCTCAACATCACTGATCATTAAAGAAATACAAATCAAAACCACAATAAGATACCATCTCACGCCAGTCAAAATGGCTATTTTTAAAAAGCCAAAGAATAACAGATACTGGTGAGGTTGTGGAGAAAAAGGAATGCTTATAAACTGTTGGTAGGAGTTTAAATTAGTTCAACCATTGTGGAAGAGTGTGTCAATTTCTCAAAGTCCTAAAGGCAGAGATGTCATTTGGCCCAGTGATCTTATTACTAGGTATATACCTGAAAGAATATTAATCATTGTATTATAAAGACTCCTCTTTTATCAGCTTATAATTTTCAAAAGGTTAATATAATTATTATACAAATATAAAATAAGAATGCATCAAATATTTTATTTAACTCTGTTAATGAGGGCAAAATAAGATGTTATGATCAATTTAAGAAGTTCTGGAGAAATTGTATAAATATATCTCAAAAACAAACATGTATATAAATACAGACAGAGAGACATTTTACAAAAAGTGTTGGGCTAATATTGTTAGGTTCAATACAAAAGTGGATATGTCTTCATGCTTTACAAGAGAATAAACCTTAGAGGGTTTCTGTTTCTGTGGACAGGTTATTTGCATCTTCACCAGCCAGAGACTTACAAGTTAAACTATGACCCTACAGAGTTTTAAAAGAGGTAGGTGTATTAGTCAGGGTTCTCTAGAGGGACAGAACTAATGGAATAGATACATGTGTGTGTGTGCATGTGTGTGGTGTATGTGTGTGTGTGTATAATATCTCGATTATATTAACTCATAGGATCACAAGGTCCCACCATAATCAACATCTCCCACCAGAGAGGTACACGTGTTACATGGTACAATGATGGATGTACATTGTCAAATCATGACCACTCAAAACCCATACCTATTTTAAAGTCCACTCTAGGTATCACACAATCTATAGGTTTGGACAAATGTATAACAATATGTATTCATGTATAATATCATAAAAAGTATTTTCACATCTCTAAAAGTCTGCCATTCTCTGGCTGTCCATCCCTCCTAATGCCCTCCCAAACCATAGCAAACAGTGATCTTTTTATAGTCTTTTACTTTCGTCTTTTCCAAAATATTGTATAGTTGGAATTATACAGTATGTAGCCTTTTTGGGTTACCTTTTTTCTCTTAGAAGTATGTACTTAAGCTTATTCCATGTCTTTTTTATGTCTTGATAGCTTTTTTTTAAGCCCTGAATAATATTCCTTTGATTAGATGTGCCATAGTTTACTTATCCATTCACCTACTAAAGGCCATCTTGGTTGTTTCCAAGTTTTCACAATTATGAATAAAGCTGCTAAAAGTATCTGTACACAGGTTTTTCTGTGGACATGAGTATTCGACTTTTTGGGGTAAATATACGGGAGCACAATTGGTAAGGGTATGCTTGGTTTTATAAGAAACTGTTAATTGTTTTCCAAAATGGCTGTACCATTATGCACTGCCACCAGCCAGTGATGAGTGAGAGTTCCTGGTACTCTACACCCTCTTCAGCATTTGGTGTTGTCAGTGTTCCCGTTACTGCCCATTCCAATAGTTGTGTAGTAGCTTCTCACTGTTCTCTTAATTTTCATTTCCCTGAAGACATATGATGTGGAAAGATTTTTCTATGTTTATTTACCATCTGTATATTTCCTTTAGTGGTTTACCTCTTAAGGACTTTGGCCCAGTTTGTATTTATTTATTTATTTATTTAATTCATTTTATGGAGACAGAGTCTCCCTCTGTCATCTTGGCTGGAGTGCAGTGGCGTGATCTCAGCTCACTGCAACTTCCATCTTCTGGGTTCAATGGATTCTCCTGCCTCGGCCTCCCATGTAGCTGGGATTACAGGCGCCCACCACCACACCCAACTAATCATTTGTGTTTTAGTAGAGACAGGGTTTCACCATGTTGCCCAGGGTTGTCTCGAACTCTGTAGCTCGGGCATTTCATCCGCCTTGGCTTCCCAAAGTTCTGGGATTACACACGTGTGCCGGCCTGGTCCAATTTTTAAATGGGTCTTTATTTTATTATTAAGTTTTAACGGTTCTTTGTATATTTTGGATAATAGTCCTTTATTCAATGTATGTTTTGCAAATGTTTTCTCCCAGTCTGTGGCTTCTCTTCCCATTCTCTTCACATTGTCTTTTGCAGAGCAGAAGGATTTAATTTTAATGAAGTCTGGCTTGTCAATTATTTATTTTATATATTGTGCCTTTGGCGTTGTATCTAAAAAGTTATCACCATATACAGGTCATTTAGGTTCTCTCCTATGTTATCTTCTAGGAGTTTTGTAGGTTTTCATGTTACATGTAAGCCTATGATCATGTTTGTGTTAGTTTTTGTGAAGGGTGTAAGGTCTGGGTCTATATTTATTTATTTTTCTTTGAGATTTGGAACTACACTGGTATTTCTTCTTATCTGCCTAATTCGGACACACAATTCTTGAATTAGTCAGTAGAGTTACAGTCAGTCATATATATATTAAAGCATAACATAACCTTTAATCTTGATTAGTAAATGAGAAATGCTAAAAACATGCAAAAATATTGGTTGAAACTGGCTAGACTGAGAACAATATTGATAACTATGAGTTATCATAAGAATGCTGATAAACTCTTAATTATATACTCTGTAGTTTTCCCATGGAGTCCATTTTTAATGCGTTGTCATTAAAATGGAATTCTCTAGTTTTGAATATATAGATTTTTGTTTTTTTTAAATTTTCTTAACCCTTAGTTTCTTCTGTCAGACTTGCAGCTGTTAAGTCTTACTATTATATCACTTGATGTTCTCCTTTCAAAATGTTCTTCTTAATAAAAGGCAATGCTTAGAAAGTAGATAAAAATTCTTAAAATTAAAATTAGAATAAAATTAAAAAATTCGTTTGCTTTTAGGTGTTTGATGAACAAAGAAATGGGACTTAGTTATTGCATATTTTAACAATTGTGTTCTATACTTTGAGTATATTTGACAAATTTCTTGATTGCTAGATATAGTTTACATATGTGAGCATAGTGATTATATATACATATATGTAACTTTATTAGCAACTGAGTTTCTGATAGATTATTTCACAGAGAAACAAAATGAAATCAGGTTTATTTAAAGAACATTGAAATGTCAGAAAACTGCTAAAAAGCACTGTTGTATCATAATTCTATTTTGAATAGGACCATAAATTAATTATCCTTTTACAAAAAATTAAAAGTTGTGTATTCATTTAGATAATATTTCAATTTAAAATATTAGTCAGAATTTTTTCCAGATAGGGATACATATTGCAAGTAATTATAATTTGTTGAAAATACACATATGGCAATGTCATGAAAGCGTAACATAGTTACATAGTTAAAAATTCAAGTATTTGTAAAATGATTAGGATCTCTTTTTAGTTCCAAATGCATGCTGCATATTTTAGGTGATTATTGGTAATTCTCTGTATTACTAAAATAATGGTGTTATTATCAAAGCAGGTTATGTTGTAAATGAAATATAAAATTATTTTAACTTATTTAGGAAAAAGTCAAATTTTACAAGTAAAGTAATGCTATCATTTTATAATTACAACAGCTTTATTCCAAAAAAAAAAAAAAAAAAAAAAAACATGCAAAGGAAGCATTCAGTATGACTAGGAATTTTTTGCAGGTTAACACCTTGCATCCTGATTTGCTCATAGCTAAAGCAACGTCCGTTTTTTAGGGACTTGAATGTGTATCTCTGTGCTAGAAAACAATACAAATTTTTGTCAGACTTTAAACTTTTAACATTTAAACTTTATTAACAGATTTCAGGTATGTTGGAAACAATCTGAGAATGACATTTAAAGCAAAATGGATTTTTTTTTTTTTTTTTGAGACGGAGTTTCGCTCTATCGCCCAGGTTGGAGTGTAGTGGCGCAGTCTCGGCTCACTGCAAGCTCCGCCACCCGGGTTCACGCCATTCTCCTGCCTCAGCCTCCCTAGTAGCTGGGACTACAGGCGCCCGCCACCGCACCCGGCTAATTTTTTGTATTTTCAGTAGAGACGGGGTTTCTACTAAACCCCGTGTTAGCCAGGATGGTCTCGATCTCCTGACCTCGTGATCTGCCCGCTTCAGCATCCCAAAGCAAAATGGATTTTTTAAACATATGACATAGATTTCAGTGTTACTAACTGTGGGACACCGTTCTTTTGGTTTTCTTTGTCCTGTAGATAGCCATTTTTTCCCTAATTTTCTATATCGGTATGTATGTGTGTGTATATGTGTATATATGTAGATATGTATTTATATATAATCTATGTATATATGTAGGAATGTATCTAAATATAAATATAAATACATACCTACATATATACATACATGCATATATACACACATACATAGATATATACATACATATATACATCTATGTGTATATATGTAGGTATGTATAAATAATCTATATGTACAGGTATATAAGTATATATGTGTGGGTATATATGCAACCTACATATATACAGATAGATATTAGACTGAGAAAAAAATCTGTTATTACATGTAGTTTTAAAAGGCCTACTGCAGGTACTTATTAATTTATTTGGAGGTTAGGATTTTAAGGAGATTTTATACATGAAACTATGAGCTTATAAGCTTATGAATATGCATGTTTATCCCCCATATTTCTCATTAGAAAATTTTATATTTAAATTTAAAAGTCAAAATTGAGTGTTGTAAATTGGAAAGCCAAACAGATGTTTCAAAATATTTAGTTGCTTGGTATAATTAAAGTGAAACATCTGGATTATTAACAGGGTATTTTTAATTGAAAGGACTACAAGTTTTAAAATAACAAAATTATATTATAATGGCATAATTTGCAGAACTAAATCTTAGCTTCTTTTTCAGTTTAAATTAAAACTTGTTTCAACTTTTATTGTATTCTGTATGACTAATACTACCATATTCACTATTGTGTTCAATGACAACTGCTCTTTCTTTAAAAATTTTTTTCTTTTAATGTAGGACACACTTAATTTAGCTCTTATAGAGGTAATTAAATTTAAGAATTTGTTTTTTTAAAATTATGTTTATATATTTTAAAAAATATTTTATATTATTACTTCTTGTGATAACATTATGAATATAAATTACAGACTATCATTACTGAATTTAAAAACTAAGTTAACATTAGTTGTAATTTTCTCTGATACTTTTACATAAGACTTACTTTGACTTTAATATTAAACAATATAAAAGTTTTTATGTTTTATCAAACATAAAACTTCTTCAAAGAAAAGGAAACAAAAGAATAAGAAGAATTTGTGGGTTACACAAATTAAAGGGTAAATATTTGCAATATATATATCTGATAAGGGACTAATATCCAGAAAGAAACCAAGAAAATCAAACTGCTTAATTAAGAAAGCAAGTAACCCTATTTAAAAATGGGCAAAGGACAGGGATAGACATTTCTCAAAAGAAGACTAAATGGCCAACAGATATATTGAAAATGCTCAACATCTCCAGTCATCAGAGACATGTAAATTAAAATCACAATGCAATATCACCTCAAACCTGCTAAATTGGCTATCTTCAAAAAATAAAAGATAAGTATTGCTGAGGATATAGATAAAACGGAACTTTTATACACTGTTAACATTATTGTAAATTAGTACAGCCATTTTGAAACACAGTGTGAAGCTTCCTCAAAACACTAAAATTAGAATTATCATATGATTCAGCAATCCCACTTCTGGGTATATACCCAAATAAATTGAAATCAACGTGTCGAAGAGATGCTGCATTCCTTGTTCTTTGCCGCATTATTCACAAGAGTCATGATATGGAAACAGCCTAAGTGTTCACGAATGAATGAATGGATTTTAACACTGTGGTGTGTATGCACAATGAAATATTATTCACCCTTTAAATAAGGAAAATTCTGTCATTTGTAACAACATGGATGAACTTAGAGGACATTATATTAAGTGAAATAAATCAGGAACAGAGAAACAAATAACATATGACCTCACTTATATGTAGAATGGAAAAGAGTCAAGCTTATGAAAGTGTTCCGTAGGATGGTGGTTACCAAGAGCTGGGGGAAGGGGGTAGATGCAGAAATGAGAGATGTTGGTCAATAGGTACAAAGTTTCCTTTTGGTAATAAAAATAAGTTCTGGTGTTTTATTATACAACACAATGACTATTACTAATAATAATGTATGTTTCAAAATTGCTAAAATGTATATTTTAAATGTTCTCACCACAAAAGAATCATGAATATTTGAGGTGATGGATCACTCAGTCTGATTTGATCATTACACAATATATACATATACTGAAACATCACATTGTACCACATGAATATATACAATTGTTATTTGTCAATTAAAATTAAATGAAAATTAAAAAATAAAAACATGATTGAGGAATCAGAAATCACACTTCTAGAAAATGAATTATCATTGTGTGGGAGAACATAGTTGTTCTAAGAGTACACTGATGTGTTTATTTCTGTGTATGCTCTACACATGTAGTTGTGTGTGGTGTGTTTATAAAGTGCTATCATAATTTCAGAATGCATAGTTAAGCCTGCTAAATGCAAGGATGTTGTTTGCTTCAAAACTAGATTGTTTAGTGTGTGGGGTCAGCATTTCCAGAAGAAGCCTAGGGGATAGATGGTTCCAGGAGCCACAGCATAGCTCTATAAAAAGAGCAAACATTCTCTAAGGGGAACATGTGACACGGAGACCAACCTGCATGCCACCTCATCCCTCCCGTTGACTTTGGATGCAAATTTTGGCTCAGGACTGTATTATTTAAGATGCAGTATTCAAATGGCCTGTGTTTCTGTAACAGTTATTTTCCTATACACCAGATAAAGCCATTTTGAGATACACTAAAGAAAAGGTCCTTTAGAAAGGCAAGAGATGAAAAAAACTGGACAGACACTTTTAATCAAAAAGAAAAACATGATGACTTCCTTGTTATGTGTACACAAGCTTGATTATATTATTTTATATTTAGGTAAAAGTAGCAGTCAGTTAGTAGTAAATATTTTATGTTAATTATAAACTAGTATTCTTTTGCAATAAGAATGGAGGCTTTAATTTCTATGAGAAGCATTGCTATTCTTTAGGAGTCTTGTGTGTGTGTGTGTGTGTGTGTGTGTGTGTGTGCATATGTATATGGAGTTTGCAGGTATGCATGTGTGTGCTGAATTTAAAATACATACTATGTAACAAGAAAGAAAAACTTAGGTATTCATTTCACACTGGAAATTACAAAAGTAAAGTCAATGTACCAGAATGTGGGTTGCGGAAAAAATATATGCTGGTCTCTAAAGGCGCCTGGGATATTTTGTACCTGTCTCTTTTCTGGGCCCCTCTCTCTTCAGTCCTGAGGTTGGTGGGACCGTCCTGTTGTGACTAGCCAAATAGGGCTGCACTTTCCTTTGCGGCTTCCTTATCCCATTCTAGCTAATGTGTTGAGTTTATTTATTAAACTCTCCTCAAATAACTTAATTCAAACATGGATACTGAACTATAAACTGTGATAATTCTCCCAAGAAAAAGACAGTTTATATTATTTTTACTACCTTCAACTCAGATATCTATTATTTAAAAATCAGAGTAAAAAAGATTTTTGTAGATCCCTCAAATTATTGAAAGTTAATGTTGCACTAAAGAAATCATTTCAAAGATCTCTGATATAAAATATAGATCATATATATGATAGATATATAGATATTTTATATCCATATAATATATTTTATTTTTAAATGGATATTTTATTTAAATATACATATATTTTAAATATGTGTGTAAATATATACACAAACATTTGCAAACCATGTGATATCTATATACAGATATACATACAAATATGTATACTATTGTTTGCAAGTAATTGATTTCTCATATTTGACAATCTATACAATGTAATTTTGAAAAATGGATGAAAAAACCATTTTATTGATTAGATATTTATGAAATTATGTTGCTTTTTTCACAAAGCTCTCATTTTTTACTTTGTAAAAGAGATCGAATATTTATATCTGTCATAAGACTTATTGTCAGTATTTTTGATATGATTATGAAAACGCAGTGTTAATGACTTTTATTCCTGAATCTAATTTACATGTAAGATAAGAGAGAAAATTTGCAAATCTGTTACTCACACTGCTCCAGCTTTTTTTCCTTGTTCTTATCTTCCTTCTCTCCCTTCATTTTCCTGTTTATCCTCACTCTCCTCTGCTGTTTCTCCTTCTTCTATTACTACTGCTGCATTTGCTTGCTGCTGCTGCTTTAGCTTCTCCTCTTTCACATTGCTCTTTCCCTTCTCCACTTTCACTCTCTCCTTCTCCTTTCTTCTTTGTCTCCTCCCATTCCCATTTTTCTCTCGTCCTCCTTTTCTTCTTCTCTTTCTCTTCCCCTTTCTTCTCTGCCTCTTCACCTTTCTCCCCCTCCTCTTTTTTCTTCTCCTTCTTATAACCATCTGTATATCTTATTTATGTGGTAAATATCATTATGTAGCATCCAAAGGTAAATCTTATTTTATGTCTTAGACTTCTGTACAAATCAAAATTGTCAGCTTGTCTTTACAAAAGATTAAATGTGGTTGGATTCAGCAAATATTTTTCCAACCTCCTGCTATTTTAAATTAGTTGTCTTGATTATTTTGCTTTGTTCCTACATCAATTGTCTTAATGTTCTTGAAGTAGTCAGATTGTCTAGAAATCCGAAAGAGTAATCAAGGCTGTAGGATTTTAATTCTTATTATTGAAGCTATGCAAAATTATAATTTTAAATAAAGAAACAAAGTCAATGTTTATTATAATACAGAGAATCATTTGGGATTATTGGCGAGAGGAAATTGCATTTTTCACTCTTAGCAAAAATTAAAGCAATTACTGTGATGGTGTCTCTATATACAAATAACTTTACCTTCTTGTTAACACTTGAATACAATGTTGATGTATTAATATATAGCTTAGGAATATATTACAATTCAGTTTCATATGTATTAGAAGCTTTGTTTTAAAGTTAGATGGAAAAGTAGATGCTTTGTTTCTGAAGGTAGAAACTGCAGGCTGGGTACAGTGGCTTATGCCTGTCATCCCAGCACTTTCGGGAGGCCAAGGTCGCTTGAGCTTTTCAGACCAGCCTGAGCAACATGGTGAAACCCTGTCTCTACAAAAAATATACAAAAGTGAGCTGGGTGTGGTGGTGTGTGCCTCTAGTCCCAGCTACTCAGGAGGCTGAGGTGAGAGGATCAACTGAGCCTGGGAAGGTCAAAGATGCAGTGAGAGGTGATGTCACCACTAGACTCCAGCCTGGGTGACAGAGTCAGACCTTATCTTAAAAAAAAAAAAAAGAAAGAAAGAAAGGAAGAAAGAAAGAAAGAAAGAAAGAAAGAAAGAAAGAAAGAAAGAAAGAAAGAAAGAAAGAAAGAAATATGGAAAGGAAAAACAAAGCCAAACAATGCACATAGATACTGTATGTATGTTTAGATGTATATATAGCCTACTCTTCTCTGGGACTCTGCCTGATGCATATATAAGCATTGAAAAATTTTCAACCAGTCTCAGGGAGGAAAATATTCTCTCTTAATAGAGAAAGTCTATATTGTTGTTCTTTTTTCTTTCACTTTAATATTGCTGAACATAAACTACTTTTATATTAAAATACATTCAATTATCAAAAATACAAAATTTATTCATGCATTATACTGAAATTGATGTTTCCAAAATTTTCCAGGGCAAACATAACTTTGGAAGCACCCACTCAACAGCCTTTCTTCTCATCCATTATATCACAGTTTTGGCAATACAGCCTATGGACCCAAATCAGCTAATCACATGTTTTTATAAATAAAGCTTTATTGGAGCACAACCACACTCCCCATTTTCTGAGTTATTTCCTATGTTGCTTCATGCAACAATGGCAGAGCTGAGTAGTTGTCACATACACAATATGGGTCATATACATAACGTATTTACTATGTGGCTTTTTACAGAAAAAAAAGCATACCAGTCTTGCCATTATATTATCTAGGAAAAACCCAACTCGGTTGAATCACAATCTCTGCCTTCGGTCTGAACTATAAATGTTGAGGGTGGCTGGATGAAAGACAATTATTCTCACTTTAAATTTGTGACTGCTGCCATTAAATAGGACTATAGTGCTTAGAAAATTTGCTACATTTTAGTAAACAATTTCCATCTGTGATGATTAATTTTCCATTTCATCTTGACTGAGTCACAGGGTACATAGATCCTTGGTCCAACATTATTTTGGATGTTTCTGCAAAGGCATTTTTGTATGAGATTAACATTTAAATTAGTAGACAGAGTAAAGCAGATTGCTTTCCCTAATGTAGGTGGGCCTCTTCCAATCCATCAAAGGCCTGCCTAGAACAAAAAGGCTGAGCCTCCTGCGATAGGAATTCCTTCTGCTTCATGGCCTTCAAACTGGGACACAGGCTTTGTTCTTGCCTCCAGTTTGGAACAGAAATATAGAAACATTGGCTCTTCTGGGATCTTGAGCCTGCCTACCTTCTGACTGGAACTATACCATCAACGTCAACTTTCCTGGGTCTTCAGCCTGCTGCCTTATTCTGCACATATTAGGCCTTGTCAGCCTCCATAATCACATGAGCCAGTTCCTTACAAAAAATTTCTCTTTCTAAATATACATATGTGTGTGTATGTTTATATATATATATATATTTTCCTCTGGAGAGCCCTAATGTACTACCTCATGCATCAAAAAGACTATTGCAAACTTTCTCCTCTTGGTCAAAGCATCTTTATTTTCTTCACTTTCTATTGATAGTTTTTCTATATATCTAATTAAAAAAACTCTAGACACAATACAAATAAGATATTTTCATCTGTATCTACCAATCAACCTGCATCTATATTATGTTCATTCCTAGGGTAAGGGACTGAAGCACACAGCTGATAGAAACTAGAGAGGGAAAATAAGAAACTGAATTAAATGTGTTTTAAATATTGCCATAGATTTGAAATCTTTCTTAATATACTGGTGTGTCATTTGTGCAAGTCATGGAGCTAATTATTAGTGTCCAGTCCCACTTATAACAAATCTAGTTGAAGATACTTGTTTTTCAAAACAACATGAGTAGAATTAACTGTTAGCATTCTGTAAGCCTAAGTAGAAAACTGGAGGAAGAAATATGAGAAAAAACAAATAAATATAGAGTTGAATAAAATATATAAAAGAAATTACACTGATTTTAAACTATTTTAAATTTATTTTCTTACTTCCTGGAAATAAAACACATATCACTTTCTGGAAAAACAACTTGATTTAAAAATAAGTTGACTTTGTAATAGGGAAAAATTACATGGAGTATATTTGTCTCCAAAAGATAAATACATGTATTGGAGTACGTGTATGCTACTGTGTGTATGGAGGCAAACAAGTGTATTGCATTATCATTTTATTTTTGAGATAATATTTTTTATTTAAGGTATTACTATTCTAATTAACTTTTTAATATTTCTGCAATAACTACACAAACTTCTTAAATGTCTTTCACTAATGTAGGTGAAATATTGCTACCAAATAATATTTATGCCTTTTTATTTTTATTTTTTGAAGTAGGATCTCACTCAGCCACCCTGACTGGAGTGCGCAATCTTGGCTCACTGTAGCCTTGAACTCCTAAGCTCAAGGGATGCTCTCATGTCAGCTCCCTGAGTAGCTGAGACTATAGGAACACACCACCAAGCCCAGCTTTTTTTTTTTCTTTTAATTTTTACTTCTAGGAGAGATAAACTCTTACCATATTGCCTAAGTTAGTCTCAAACTCCTGGGCTCAAGCAGTCATCCTGCCTCAGCCTCCCAAAGTGCTGGGAGTACTGGCATGAGCCACTGTGTCTGGCCAATAGTCATGCCTTTAAAAACAAGAACAAAATGTAATCATTGTAAGGGGAAACATCTCTAGAAGGGTGGCATAATAATGTCCGAAAACCTGCTCTTTCACAAAAGTAATAACACTGGCAAAAAAAAAAAAAAGTCATTGTCAATGTTTTCAGAACTCTTTTTCAGACTTTTATTTTAGATTCTGGGGATACATGTGCAGTTTCATTTCCTGGGCATATTGTGTGATGTTCACCCAGGTACTGAGCATAGTACCCAATACATTTTCAACCCTTGTCCCCTTCCCCCAGTCACTCTTCTAGTAGCTCCGTGTCTATTGTTGCCATCTTTATATCCATGAGTACCCGATGTTTAGCTCCCACTTATAAGTGAAAATGTGTATTTGGTTTTCTGGTTCTGTGTTAATTCATTTACGGTAATGGCCTCCAGCTGTGTCCATGCTTCTGCAAACGTAATTATTTTGTACTTTTTTACTGTTGTGTAGTATTCCATTGTGGATATGTACCACATTTTCTTTATTTAGTCTATCATTGATGGATACCTTGGGTTGATTCCATGTCTTTGCTATTGTGAATACTGCTGTGATATACATGTGGCTGTATTTTTTTTTTGGTAGAATGATTTGTTTTCTTTTGTATGTATACCCAGCAATGAGATTGTTAAGTCAAACGGTACTTCTGTTTTGAGCTCTTTCATAATTCTCCAAACTGCTTTCCATAGCAGTTGTACTAATGTTCATTCCCACCAACAGTGTATAATTATTCCCTTTTTTTTCCTGCAACCTCACAAGCATCTGTTGAATTTTTTTCTTTTTTGACTTTTTAATGATGGCCATACTGACTGCATGAGATGTTATCTCATCGTGGTTTTTATTTGCATTTCTCTGATGATTAGCGATGTGGGACTTTTTGTCATATGTTTGTTGGCCTCTTGTATGTCTTCTTTTGAGACGCATCTGTTCATGTCCTTTGCTCATTTTTTAATTGGGTTCTTTTTTGTGTGTTTTCAGTTGTTTAAATTCCTTATAGATTCTGGATATTAGATCTTGCTGGATGCATGGTTTGTGAATATTTTATCCCATTTGTAGGTTGTCTGTTTACTCTGTTGATAGTTTATTTTGCTGTGTAGAAGCTCTTTAGCGTAATTAGGTCCTACTTGTCAATTTGTGGTTGTGTTACAATTGCTTTTGCAGACTTAGTCATAAATTCTTTCTCCAGACCAATGTCCAGAATGGTGCTTCCTAGGTTTTCTTCTAGGATTCTTATAGTTTAAGGTCTTACATTTAAGCCTTTATTCCATCTTGAGTTAACTTTGGTATATGTTGAAAGGTAAGAGTGCAGTATTATCCTTCTGCATATGGCTATCCCGCCATTCCAGTACCATTAATTAAGTGTGCAGTCCTTTCCCCATTGTTTTTGTTGACTTTGTCAAATATCAAATGGCCCTAGATGTGCGGCCTCACTTCTGGATTCTCAGTTCTGTTCAACTGGTCTCTGTGTCTATTTTGTACTAGTACCATGCTGTTTTACATACTATAACCTTATAATATTGTGTGAATTCAGTTAGTGTGATGACTCTAGCTTTGTTCTTTTTGCTTAGATTTGCTTTGGTCATTTGGGGTATTTATAGTTCCATATGAATTTTAGAGTAGTTTTTTCTATTTCTGTGAAAAATAATGTTGGTAGTTTGATAGAAGTAGCATTGAATCTGAAGGATTTGAGACAATCCAAGGAACATTTACTCAATAAAAATGGATAAATTTCAGCGACAATAGTGTTTTATGGTGTTTTAACTTCCCCTACCAACATCTCCTCTTTTCAGCTCTGTAGTCATTTTTGAAACCAAAGTAAACATCCACAATCACTGTGAAATTCAGCAATCTAGTCCCAGGCCACTGGAAGAGGAAGAGCTGGTGTGAGGCTTTTCAAGAAGCCTTGCTTGGATGTGGAGTGCAATATTCTTCATCAAATTTGGGAAGGTGTTGGCTATTCTTCAGAAATTTTTTCTTCATCTTTCTTTCAGCTCCTCCTGGGACTCTGATAACTTAGGTCCCCCTGCTATGTTTGGTAATACACAACATGTCTCTGAGTCTCTGTTCACTTTTTACCATTATTTTTTATTTCTGTTTCTCAGACTGGATGTTCTCACATAAACTATCTTCAAATTTTCTCATTGTTTTTTTTTCTGCCAAATGAACCTTACTATTAATACATTCCAGTGAATTTTCCACATCAGTGTGCATTATGTGGAAGATCAAGATTTGAAAAAGAAGATAAGCCAAGTAAAGATCAATGTCCCTTATGAATGTAAGTGTAAATTCATTAGAAAAATTCTAGAAAACTGAGTTGTTTTTAAACGGATTATACACCATAACCAAGTGGGATTTATATTATTAATGCATGTTTGGCTTAATTTAAACAAATCAATGTAAAACATCACATTAATAGCATAAAGGACAAAACAATGTGATCATTTTATTGATGAAGAAATATCATTTGACAAAATGCAACAACCTTTAATTATCCAAACACTCAATCAAATAAAAATAGAAAGGAAATTCTTCAACCTATAATAGAGCACCTATGAAAAATGTACAGCTGACAACCTATGGCAAAAGACTGAACACTTTCCTCCTCAGAATGGGAAGAGGCAGAGAATGTCATTTCTCATCCTTTTAAGTCAACATTTTATTAGATATTACAGGCCGGACAATTAGGCCAGAAAAATAAATAGAAACATTTAGATTGGGTTGGAAGAAGTAAAACTACCTCTGTTCAGATTATATTAACTTTCCTGTAGAATCTTAAAAATAATAACCAAAATAATTAATAAATCTTTTCAGAATTTGCAGGATACAAACTCAACATATTACAGAAATAAAGTGTATTTCTATACACCAGCAAGGAACAATCTGGAAATTAAATTAAGAAGGCATTTCCATTTAAAATATCATAAAGAATAAAATAATTAGGAGTTCACTTAACAAAGCCAATACAACACTTAAAGAATATTGTTTAAAGATGTTTATGTTTTTATATAAAAAAATAAGTAAATAATTGGAAATACATGTCATGTTTGTGAACTGGAAGACTTAACATTGATAAGATGGCTGCAAGAATTTATCTACAGACTGAACAAGATTTCTATCAAAATTTCAGCTGGCTTTATTTTAAAAAATAACCATAAAAATTTAAAAATTTATATGACACTGTGCTAGATCCAAAATACTCAAAACATTCATAATAAAAAAATTTAAAATCTCACATATCCCAGTTTTAAAAGTTACTACAAAGTAAAGTAATCAAGACTGGGTGGTATTGTTTTAAAGATAAACACAACAGAATATCATCAAACATATCAAATCTGTTGATCTTATAGATCAATAGGATATCATTGAAAGCCTAGAAATAAATTCCTTACCTTTATGATTAATTAATTTTTATAAAGCTGCTAAAATAACTTAATGATCATAAAATAGTTCTTTTTTTCAACAAAATGTGCTAAAATAATTGGATCTCCAAATGCGAAAGATGAAGTTGGGCCCCTCTCTCATACCATATACAAAAATGAATTTAAAATGCAACATAAACATAAATGCAGGAGCTAAAGCTATAAAACTTTTAGAAGAAAACATAAAAGTAAATGTTTAGACCTTGAATGAGGCAATGGGATTTTAGATGTGGCACTAAAAGCTCAAGTGACAAAAGAAAAATATATAGTACACATATTATATTTCACAAAAATTAAAAACTTTTGTGCTTCAAAGATCATCACTTGAAAACGAAAAGACAGGATCGGAATGAAAAATATATTTGCAAATAATCTATCTAATGATCTGGTGTCCAAAATATAGAGAACTCTTTAAACTCAAAAATTTTAATAATACATTCAGCTCAACTAAAAATGATTGAAATTGTCATTTTTTTTCAAAGAAGAAATAGTAATGGCCAATATGCACATACAAAATGCTCAACATCATTAGTCATTAGTAACATACAAACCAAACCACCATAAGATATTATTTAGTAACCATCAAAGTGACTGTAATCAAAGAGACAGACAAAAATTAGTCTGGCAAAGGCTATGCATGGTGGCTCATGCCTGTAATTCCAGCACTTTGGGAGGTCAAGGTAGGCGGATCACTTGAGCTAGGAGTTAAAGACCAGCCTGGCAAACATGGTGAAACCCTGTCTCTACTAAAAATACAAAAATTAGCTGGGCATGGTTGTGAGTGCTTGTAATCCCAGCTACTCTGGAGGCTGAGGCAGGAGAATTGCTTGAACTCATGAGGCAGGGGTGTAAGGGTTGCAGTGAACCAAGATAGCACCACTGCACCTGAGCCTTGGCAATAAAGTGAGACTCTGTTTCAAAAAAAAAAAAAAAAATAAGAAAAAATAAAAACAACTAAACAACAAAAAACAAACAAACAAAGAAAAACCAGTCTGGCAAGGATGGTAAGGGTGTGGAGAAATTGTAACTCTCCTGCATTGCTGCCGAGAATGTAAAAATGGCACAGGCACTTTCACAAACAATTCAGCAGTTCCTCAAAATGTTAGTCATTGTATGATTCAGCAATTTTACTCCTACTTATATGCCTAAGAGAACTAAAAGCAGTCTATGAAAATTTTGTATACAGTCTTTCATAGCAGCATTATCCACGATAACATAAAATTGGAAATGTCACTGAACCAGCTGGTGAATGGATAAACATAATGTTGTATATTTATATTCTGGACTATTATTTACCAATTAAAAATGAAGTGTTGATACATGCTATTACATGGATGAACGTTGAAATTATGAAAGGGGGTATATATTGAGTTATTGCATGTGCATGAAATGGACAAATTCATAGAAACAGAAGGTAAATTAGTGGAAAGTGATGATAATTTGTATGAGGTTTCTTTTTGTTGTGATGAAGATATTCTAAACTTAGATAATGGGAATGGTTCCTCACTCTGAATATGCAATAATCAACTAAGTTGTACACTTTAAAAAGGTGAATTTTATGTTATATGACATATCTCAAAAAGGCTGTTAACCAAATTCTCATTTTCTGCTAACTACTTTTAAAGAAACTTAAAGTACAATTTTTAACAAGAGAGTCAAGACTTCAGCTCTCATGGGGATGATGTCGTGGTTTGGGAGTGACAGGCGTTCATGTAACTGAATATATCTATGATCAACCTTTACAATAAAGACAAGAAAATGAAATGGATGTGATAGAAAGTGTCAAATGGTGGGGTGGATAGAAGTTTTTAGAGAGGATAGTAGAAGGGAAATCATTAAAGAAGGTATTAATTCTAAAGAAAATGAGAATCTAGCAGAAGGTATTAAATATAGGAAACACATCATCTTATTTTAATTTCTATAAGAAAACTCTATATTTTGTGGATAATATATATTATCAGAAATAAATAATGGCACAGGAAGGTTGATATAAACAAGTGTAGG
Organism: Homo sapiens; assembly: GCF_000001405.40. NCBI lineage: Eukaryota > Metazoa > Chordata > Mammalia > Primates > Hominidae > Homo > Homo sapiens. The sequence goes on from NC_000005.10 coordinate 26,759,057, forward strand.
CCATAAACAGTTGTTGGTTAAATTTGAGTTTTGGCAGTGGAGAGGTGGAGAACAGGATGGGGTATGTTTTCGAGGTACAAATGACAGATCTTCTAGGTTTGAAACAGTGGGGATAAAGACAGTGAGCATTCATGATAATTCTAAAGTTTTGTCCTTGTACAAAAATGTGGATTGTACCATTAACAGAGATAGAACAGTTACTGGTAGAAATAGTATTGGGGTCCCAGTACATCATAAATTCTTTATTAGCCATATTAATTTTGAGATACTTCCTGGATATTCAGATAAAGTGGGCAATTGTACAGGTAAATATATTATTCATAAAATTGAAACAGAATGCATTCAACCATAGGGAGGAGATGAGGAACTCTACCAAAAACAGAAAGAATATTGTTATAGATTAAATGAAACATGAGGTATATCATATAAGACATGGCTTTTATGAGTTTTAATTGGATTTTTATGAGTTTTAATTGGATTCTGATTCAAACAACTCAAAAATTTTAGAGCAATTTTAATGTACCTAGTTTATTGTTTCCCAAAATTCTATTTTTATTATACTTTTCTTAAAATTATATACCACAAGTTTCTATTAAATGCTTCAAATTATTTAAATAATCATAATTCTCTGAACAAAGTCAATTTTATTATTTGTTCTAGTGACATGAGTCAAACCACTAGAAACTTTCTTCTTGATAGCTTGACCTTTATAATTAAGTGATTTATTAAGATAATATAAATATTCTTCAAAGTTAGATACATAGCTATTAATCATTTTAAAAACTTTTAAAAGCAATGCCTTTATGAGCTAAGGTTAATTGCCTTGCTTACATTTCATACATATATACTTGAATAAATTTCATGTGTTGCTGAGACAGCATCTTTTATAAACTTTAGTTCTACTTCTTTTTTCTGTTTCTATAGACACTAAAACTTAGTAATTTGATTCATATAAATTAGGACATGTAGAATGCCATTTATTTCCTTGAATAACTTGTGAGTTGTAAGCAAAAAAATCACACCATTTATTTTATCTGCATCTATTTTTAATGATCCGTTAGCTGACAATAGACTTGATGCCCGCTTTAAATGTGTAGAAAACAAAGAATTGAAAACTACCTGTCTTAAAAGTGGAATTGTGTTTTCCACTTGTAATTCTCTCCAAAATTTATATGTTAAAATCCTAATCCCCAAGATGAAAACTCGTTGGAGTTGGTGCCTTTGGGAGGTAATTAGGTCCAGAGAACAGGGCACTCATAAATGGGTTAGTGCCCTTATACTGAGGCCTGAGGAAGCTTATTTGACCCTTTCACCACGTGAGGACACAGGGAGAAGTCAGTAGTTTGCAACCAAAAGAGGTCCCCAACCAGAAGGTGACGATACACCCTGACTTGGCGCCCTAATCTTGGATTTGCAGGTTCTAGAACTGTGAGAAAGAAATTTCTGCTGTTTAAAAGCTACTCATTTTAGTGCATTTTGTTATAGCAGCCTGAAGGCATAAGACAAATTGTTATGAGGTCTTTAGAATTACTGTCTTTAGAATTACTTACTATTGAAACATCAATATCAATATCAAAGTGTCATTATAGTTTGGTACCTTCAAAGGGTTCTCTTATTTTTTTTTTTTTTTTTTGCTTTTTTTGTATAGTTGTTTGTTGCTTTGTTTTCACTCCAGAATACAGCACAATGATAAGATTAAGGATATGTGAGGAGCCTGCCTTTCTTTTTTGAAACAGAAACATGGCAGTTTTGAAAGAAAAGGTAGGAAAGGGAACACTGTACCTTCTTTAAACAGCAATTTCATGCAGATTGATTTTAAAAGAATACACACATGAAGTTGATGTAATTAAAATTATCCACATCCATGTTTCCCTTGAACACTTATTGCATAACCCGAGGCATTTCTTTTGTTTTCAAACCACTCCTTCAAAAGAACCAGAGGACAGGCCATTATGAAAAGCATTCTATTCACCATGGATAACACTAGAAATCCCAACACCCCAGGTTGTTGATACACTTAGATTCTATTCTGCACACTTAATCTACCTTAATTCTCTATTCCTCCCCCCTTTTAAAACCATTATTTGTGCACTGTCTCTAACTGACAAGCTGCCATTAGCAATGTCCCTCTATATATCCTCAGCTGTCCTGTGAACATTCCCCTTAATCCTGCCTGAACTGACATCTGACAGGTCCCTGAAGACACGGTCTATTTGGCAGGCTTCCCAACCGGAAGCTGTTTATATTCTTTCACGTCACCTGTGTTAAGGGCTGTGTTAAAGCGCGGTAATTGCCTTCTTTCTTCCTATTACGTGTTCCAAACAATTTCTCACTACCCCGTTTAAAAGTCTAGCTCTTTATATTTTATAACAATTATTTGTAATTATGTTGACCGGCACTTCACTGCCTCACTTCATGGTTTGTATTAGCAGAGTGGCCTGTACTGTCCCAGGAAAATAGCCTCTGAAACTGGGATAAATACTGGCTCAGTTTTACATAATCAGGAGCTGTGCCATAGACTTTGCTTAAAGACAGGAAGAGATATTGGCAGACCCCACAATTCCAACTTCCAACATGTTCTCTTTTTGACTAAAACTGTAAGCCAATATCTGGCTTTGCCTCTCTAGCTTGGAACAGAAGTAGGTACTAGTCATGTAATGCTCAAAAACTAGTTTTCCTCTTTGCTTCCTGGAAATAGCGGAGCTGACCTTGGCCTCCGCATCATCAGCAGTGGCTCCTTTTTCTGGCCTGTTTATATGGATCCATCTCCGGCTCCAAAACATATTTTATCCAAATATGTCTTAAGCCACTTTTGACCTGAGTTGCCTCAGAATTTTGCTTCCTTCTCTTAGAATTTAGTTATTTTAGATATTTATGCTCTGATAGGAGTTACAAACTCCCAGTTATAATCATTCTCACTTTAGTTTTGCTATCCAGAATCCCTCCATCACTCAAAAGCTCACATAAAGTATTTGCCTGTCACTTAATACATTTATTCATATTTATATTTAGCTATTATCTATCTACACGTCAATAATAGATGACATAAGATAGATCCACAGATAGAAACAGATAGATGAGAGAGAGAGGGGGAGAGAGAGAGAGAGAGAGAGAACATCAAAGTGTTTAGCTCCTGGAAATATGGACAAATATCCTGCCTGAACAAGATTACAGTCCATTAAGAAGAGCCTGAAATTAAAACATTTTTACAAGTTTCGTGGTTTCACCTTGCTAATCAGAAAATACAAGACAGTTAAGGAGACGTATAAGGAATTTTACTTAGTTTAAGGAATCCATGATTTTTAAAGTGATTTATAATCTTATATCTGAAATACAAGTGGAAGAAATATCAGAGGTTGAAGTGAAATTGTCCCCAGCAAAAAACAATACACAAAGACTTTCTGAGTTAACTGATTCCTTTGCAGTCACCAGATCTACAAATAATTCTGTATTCTGAGAAAGCTAATGGGGAAATTAGTTTAGGAGCTTTTACATTAAGCATCTAACATGTATATAGTATAAAATAATTTCATAATGTTCTTAAGAAACAAATTAATTGAAGTAGATATCAGAGTTGCATTTAAGTGATCTTATTAATAACTATTTCTCCCTATGTTCTTAATATATAGTTAATCTCATGTCTATTCTTAATTCTCCTAATTTTTCATATGGGCTACAGAGGTGAACTAATCTGTAATATGAAAACCATATTTAATAACAGAAAAACCTGTTTAGATTTATTTTAATCACCAACAGTCATTCTCAGTGATAACTCTTCATCGCAAATTTGAGCACATAAAATTCCAGAGGAGTTAACATAAATAAAAATAAAACAAGATAATGTCAACCTACTGATAGACAGCTGGAAGCATAAACTCTATTGATTGCATTGTTAATGCCATTTGTTTAATCATAACTTTTCAGAATTTTACTCAATTTCTGCTTGAAGATGAACATGTAAGCATAATGTTGTGAAGATAAATTACAAAGTTTGAAAATTGCAACAGTTCTAACTCTAGAATAGAAAGACAGAAAATGTAGTTAGTGAAGAGAAAATTAAACAAAAGAAACTTCTCTTTCAAAACATAGGCAAAATTCAAATGCACAAGTGCAAAGAAATAGTCCTGAGTTATCAGAAACAAGATGAATAGAGAGGAAAAAGTTCCATCAAAACACATTTTGAAGTGATATTCCTTTTTTTGTAAGAAATTCTACAAAATTGGCAATTAGCAACTCTTGTTTATTGTGCAACTGGAATTCTATTTTAGTCATGTTTGGAAGAAAGCCCAAAACTGAAATTGCACAGTTAAGAGTCTTTAAAAGAAAAGTAAGATATTTTGATAACCCTAAAAAAGCATATGTTATGATTCAGATGACTGGGTTAAATGGCTTTTTATTTAAAAGGTTTCTGGAAACAAGAATAAATGTTCCACACAATAACAGCCAAAGGGCAGATGGGGGACGTTGGCGTCTCGAGAAAGGATAATTGGAATTGTGGAACACAATTTATATGTCTTGCAATTGGCAAGGAACATTTTCTTAATTTTTCACATGTACACTCTATGTTTACAAATACAGGAGGAACACATTTAAACGAATAACACAAGAATTAATTTATTGTAATTGCCTAAAAGTATTTTATCTAAAGCACAGGCTTAGGCTGAATAATAACCCTTTATGTCTGTTTTTGTCTTTCAGAGTTGTTCCAAAATTTTCCCTCCGTGAAATCTACCAGAGTCGGAAAATAAGCTAATATCAAAATCTGTGTTTTTAATTTTTGGCTTGAGGAAAAATGTTATGTAGCTTTTATGTATTTTACTAGGTTATGTGCTTAACTGGTCACATTTGTCCCTAACTCCATCTTATTTATATTGCATTTAAGCAATTTTATTTTTATTGAACCAAAAAAGTACCTCTTGGAATCATAGAACATTTACATTACGTTTTCTGGTATTTTTACTTCTGTCTGGATTGAATTCACCTATTAGCTAGCAACGCAAATTTAAAAAGCATATTTTGCTAATGAAAATATTACAATGAAACCGTGGGTTGTGCTTTCCTTAAGCCCAAGGGCAAGGAGAAAAAAGTGACTACATATGTATGTTTACCTAACATTTTTTGATACAACCATCCTTATTCTATTATACTGTGGAAATAGCCACTTAACAAGATATGTCCATAGAAGTGTATGGCTCCTTACTCTAACAATATAAATGACATTCTTCTTCCCTCTACTGCTCCATTTTTGTTTCTATTGTTGTAGATTTTTATTTTATACAATATAGAGTTTTAGTTTCAGATTAATAGCAATTTATCCTCTTAATTGAAAATTTGAAAAATACCAAAGTCTATCAAAAAGGAAAACAAACAAACAAAAAACAATAAAATGTAAAAGGCATCAGTAATATCTATCATCATATGAAGAAAATTATTGCTAATTTAGGTAGACTTTACAATTTAAAAACTAAATTTGAACAAATGTTAAATGTACAGTTCCGTTAATTTTTCCCAAATGAGCTCATCTTTGACACCACACGTTATTCATGATATATAATATCAACATTCAAAACCTCCTTTGGGACCCATGCTAATTAGTACTGCATCTGAGAATAAGCAATATTCTAGCTTCTAAGCCTAAATATACATTTTTAAATTTATATAAATGAAATCACACTCCATTTTCATGCCTGGATTCTTTTGACATTATTATATTTTTAAAGATTCATCCATTTATTGTGAGTAGTTGCAGTTTGTGATTTGATTCCATATATGAAATTACTGTAATTAATAAACATTTAGGTTACTTTTAACATTTGGCCCTTTATGAGTTATGCTGCTATAAACATGTTTGTGCATGTCTGTTGGCAAACAAATACACATTCCTTTAGGGACAATATGTAGATAAATTATAAATTATGTCTATGCTCAATTTTTTAAAAGATACTGTCAAATAATTTTCCAAAGTATTTGTGCCAATTTATACTCTCACCAACATGTAAGAGGATTCCAGCTGCTTTATACCTTTATCAAAACTCAGTATCATCTGTCTTCCAATTTGGCCATTTCGGTACGTATAGGTAGTATCTACTTGTGTTTTCAATTTATGTAGTTTTTCTTATTGAGGACAAATTGGGTAACCACATTTTTATATGGTTATTTATCCAGCACTGTTTATTTAAAGTGTCTTTATTTACTCACTGCCTTTTAAGGTCATTTTGTAATACCAGTGATAATACTGACAGGTGTGGGTCTGTTTTGGAATTTAAAAGAGTATATTACTTCTTTCATGTATAGTCTTGTCTACGACTAATACTAAAGTATCTTTATTATTCGAACTTTATAGTAATTCTTGATACCTTGTAGTTTAGGTACTCCAGTGAATACTGCTTGATTTCTACGAAATTTTAATAACTTTGATTTCTATGAAATTTTAATATGTTTCTCAATTCCTAATTTTTTATTTCAACTTTTATTTTAGATATAGATGGTATATATTCAGGTGTATTACATAGGTATATTGCACCCAGATAATGAGCATAGTACTCATTAGGCAGTTTTTCAGCCCATTATCCCCTCCCTATCTCCCCCATCTAGTAGTCCACAGTGACTATTGTTCCCATGTTTACAACTATGTGTAATCAATGTTTAGTTCCCATTTATAAGTGAGAGTATGTGTTATTGGCTTTCTGTTCCTGTGTTAATTTGCTTAGGACAATGGCCTCCAGCTGCCTCCATGTTGCTGCAAATAACATAATTTCATCTTTTTTTATGGCTGCATGGTATTCCGTGGTGTATATGCAGCACATTTTCTTTATTGAATCTACTATTGATGAGTATCTAGGTTGAAAACATGTCTATGTTATTGTGAACAATGCTGCAATGAACTTAGGAGTTCCATCTCTCTTTTTGGTATAAAGATCTATTTTCTTTTGGGTATATATGCAGTAATGGGATTGCTGGGTTGAATGGTAGTTCTATTGTAAGTTCTTTAAGAAATCTCCAAACTGCTTTTTGCAGGGTCTGAACTAATTTACATTTCCACCATCAGTGTATAAGCATTCCTTTTTCTCCACACCCTTGCAAGGATCTGTTGTATTTTGACTTTCTAATAATAATCATTCTGACTTGTGTGAGATGGTATCTCATTGTGGTTTTGATTTACATTTCTCTGATAATTAGTGATGTACATCATTGTTCTCACGTATTTGTTGGTCACTTGTATGTCTTCTTTTGAAAAGTGTCTGTTCATGCCCTTTGCCCGTTCTTCAGTGGTGTTATTTGTTTTTTGCATGTTCAATCTTATGGATTCTGAATATTAGACCAATTAGACCATTGTCAGATGCATAGCTTGAAAATATTTTCTCCATTATTTAGGTGATCTGTTTACTCTGTTGATAGTTTATTTTGCTGTCCAGAAGCTCTTTAGTTTAATTAGGTCCTACTTGTATGTTTGTTGCAATAGCTTTTAGGGACTTAGCAAAAAATTATTTGCCAAGGCTGATGTCAAGAAGTGTATATCCTAAATTATCTTCTAATATTCTTATACTTTGAGGTCTTACATTTAAATCTTTAATCTTTAAATCTTCACTCCATCCTGAGTTGATGTTTATGTATGGTGAAAGTAAGCATCCAGTTTTAGTCTTCTGCATATTGCTAGCTAGTGGTCCCGGCACCATTTATTGAATAGTGTGTACTTTTCCTATTTTTATTGGTCTAATTTAATATCAGATGGTTGTAGGTGTGTAGTTTTATTTTTGAGTTCTCTATTCTATTCCATTTGTCTACGTGCTTATTTTTGTACCAGTAACATTCTCTTTTAATTACTGTAGCCTTGTGGTATAGTTTGAAGTTAGATAATGTAATGGTTCTGTCTTTATTCTCTTTGCTTAGAATTACTTTGGCTATTCAGGCTCTTTTTCGGTTTCATATAAATTTTAGAATAGTTTTTTTTTTCCTAATTCTGGAAAGAATGACATTGGTAGTTTGATAGGAAGATCATTGAATCTGTGAGTTGTTTTGCGCAGTATGATCATTTCAACGATATTGATTTTACTAATCCATGAGCTCCGAATGTTTTTTCCATTTATTTGTGTCATCTCTGATTTTTTTCAGCAGTGTTTTAGAGTTCTCCTTGTAGAGATCTTTTATCTCCATGGTTAGCTGTATTCCTAGTTATTTCATTTTCTTCATAGCTATTGAAAATGGGTTTGTGTTCCTGATTTGACTCTCAATCTGGATGCTTTTGGGGTATAGAAATGCTACTAAATTTTGTACATTGATTTTTTTATCCTGAAATCTTATTAAAATTGTTTATCAGTTCTAGTAGCCTTTTGGTGGGGTCTTAAGATTTTTCTAGGTATAGAATCATATTGTCAGTGAAGACAGATAGTTTGATTTCTTTTTTTTTTTTTTTATTTGGATGCCTTATTTTTTTCTCTTGTCTGATTGCTCTGGCTAGGACTTGCAGTACTATGTTGAGTAGGAGTGGTGAGAGTGGACATCTTTGTCTTGTTCCGATTCTCAAGAGGAATGGTTCCAGATTTTCCCCATTCAGTGTGATATTGGCTGTGGATTTGTCATAGATGGCTCTTATTATTTTGAGGTATGTTTCTTCGTCCATTAAGAGTTTGTTATGTAAGGATATGAGATTTTCTTGAAAGTTTTTACTGTGTCTATTGAGATGATACTAGTTTCATTGTTTTTAATTCTGCTTATGTGGTGAGTCCATTTATTGATTTGCATATACTGAAGATGGTTATTAACATGGGTATAGATCACTTCTGGTCAATTTGGATCTGTACCAAATCAAGGCAGATATGTAAACTAAATACACCACAGTCATTGATATGGTTTGGATCTGTGTCCCTGCCGATATCTCATGTCGAATTGTAAACCCCAATGTTGGAGGTGGGGCCTGGTTGGAGGTGAATTGAATCATAGGGGCAGTTTTGCAGTTTCTCATCGTTTAACACCATCCAGACTTGATGCTGCCATCGTGATAGTGAGTTCTTGTGAGATGTGGTTGTTTAAAAGTGTAGGGTACCTCCTCTCTGTTTTTACCTCTTGCTCTGGCCATGTGAAGTGCTTGCTTCCCCTTCAACTTCTGCCATAATTGGAAGCTTCCTGATGCCAAACAGATGGTGCCATGCTTCTTGTACAACCTGCAGAATAGTGCAGTCTCAGGTATTTCATTACTGCAGTGCAAAAACGGACTAATACAGTCATCTTCTAGTTTACCACAGTCCTTAAACAATGTCCTCTGAAGTCTGAAATTGGATCCTAGGGTGATATTGATAGCTCACCCTTAAGAGATGCTACACTTATAGTGTAGGTTGCCTCAGTGCCAAAAGGGTGGGAGGAAATCTTCACTGAGAGTTAAAACTTCTACATGAGAGTTAAGGGCTGACTGTGGAGCTCACATATTTGTATGTCTCCTTTCTCTCTGGAATTTTGGACCCTAATATTCGACTTCTGTAACCCTTATATCCAATTGTTATGAACTCAAGTCTGTGAGACTGTTCAAAGCACTGCTTTTACTTATCATACTACTCTTCTCTGCCAGGATTATTAAACTTTTGCTCTAAGCCAAGCATTCGGAAATAGGTAGGAATTGCAGGCGCAGGAAGTTGAGATTGACTAACATAAATTAACCATATTCTTTGCATCTAGCCTCTCAAGACTTGCCTGCATCAATAGATCTCACATATCATGAAACAGATGATTTTGTTATTGTCATTTGCTTCTGTATCACTTCTCAGATGGTTAGTACTGAGTGACAACTTGATTGGATTGAAGGATGCAATGTATTGATCTTGGGTGTGTCTGTGAGGGTGTTGTCAAAGGAGATTAATAATTGAATCAGTGGGCTGGGAAAGGCCGACCCACCCTTATTCTGAGTGGGCACAATCTAATCAGCTGCTAACATAGATAGAATATAAAGCAGGCAGAAAAATGTGAAAATACTAGGCTGGCCTAGCCTCTCAAGCTACATCTATTTCCCGTGCTGCATGTTTTCTGTCCTCAAACATCAGACTCCAAGTTCTTCAATTTGGGGTCTTGGATGGGCTCTCCTTGCTCCTCAGCTTGCAGATGGTCTATTTTGGGACCTTGTGATTGTGTGAGTTAATATTTCTATCCCTCTAGAGAACGCTGACTAATACAGATTTTGGTACCAGTAGTTGTTCTAGAGGAAGAGAATATTAAGGATAGAGTTCTTTCATTGTTTTGGGGGTTTCTGGAGGTGGCTGCTTCATATGATTAGACCCCAAAATGCTAACAACTCTACTTCTAATAGTATGGAGAACACTGATAATCCTTGGCATGAACCGTTTAGAGATTTATGCAAAATAAATGCATTTGACACTCCCAATTCACCGCTCATGAGAGGCAAGGAGTTTAGGTGCTCTTTACCTAATACCTTTCACCATATGTGGAGAACCACAGAACATAATGAAACTAGTTCGTGGCTCCTAAGTTTACTGAACAAAGTGATGAAAAAAAATGATGAACTCAGGGCTTCTATCTCCCAGCTTCAGAAGAAGATACTGAGCCTCAAATCTGCTAAGATTGCCCTGAGTGAGAAATCTCATCTCCTGTAGAGAATAGCTGAGATTGTGGAAAAGCAGAAACAAGGTCTTATCATGAAAGTGGCTGACCTGCAACAAAAGGTTCATGCTCGGCCTTGCCAGGTGTCTGCTGTCCAAGTGAGGGCATTGATTGGAAAAGAATGGGAACCTGCAACTTGGAATGGGGATGTGTGGGAGGACGCTTAAGAAGCTGAAAACACTGGGTTTGTAAACTCTGATAAACCTTGTTTGCCAGAAGAAATAGCTTCCCCATCCCCAGTAGTGACAACATCCCCTCTCTGACCCATGCTGCCATCAGGCTTTCCACCCTTGTCTGAGAAGATAAACCTTGCACCGCCTGAGGCAACAGTAATGCCTGAGGCAGTTACCAGGCAAGATAATGTTGATTCTCCTCAGGACCCATCCCTAACACCACTTTTTGCTTCTAGACCAATAACTAGACTGAAGTCCTAGTGGGCCCCTGGATGTGACATTCAGAGGCACATCTGGGTGACATCTGGGTGAACTCACTATCACCCATGAGAAGGTGCACTAGACTTGCAAAGAACTGCTTGAGTTTTCTAATTTATGGAAGAAAAAATCTGGAGAACACACATGGGAGTGGATATTAAGGGTGTGGGATAATGTTGGAAGGAGCATAGTGTTGGATCAGGCTGAATTTATTGATTTGGGCCCACTAGGGACTCCGCATTTAATGCTGCAGCTTGGAAAGTTAAAAAAAAGGTGCTAATAGTTTATGTGCTTGGCTAGCTGAAATATAGATTAAAAGATGGCCCGCTGGGGACAAGCTGAAAATGCCTGATCTTTCTTGGTGTAATGTAGAGGAAGGGATCCAAAGGCTTAGGGATATTGGAATGGTGGAATGGATTAGTCACTTTAGACCTATTCATTCCAGCTGGGAGGGTCCAGAAAATACACCCTTAACCAATGGCTGGTGAAATAGATTTGTGAGAGCAACACCTGCATCTTTGAAGAGACCTGTAATTGCTCTTCTCTGTATGTCACATCGAACAGTGGGAACCACAGTCACTCCACTACAATATTTAAATTCAGTGGGAATAACTGGATCCTGAACTGTCAGAGGCCAAGTGGCGGCACTCAACCATCAAGGGCAAAGTGTGTGTGGCTACCGTAATGGACAGCAGAGGCAAAGCAGCAATCAGAATAGTCTGACTTGTGTAGAGCTCTGTCATTGGCTAATTAATCAAAATGTTCCTAGAAGTCAAATTCATAGAAAGCCTTTCGGAATCAATACTTAATTTATATAAGCAGAAAACTTCTCAATCAAATGGACAAAAAACTAATTTGAATTATAGAAGCAGAGACCCATGGCCCCTCAAGAAATTTCCAGACTTGAGCCAGTTTACAGACCCAGAACACCTTGAATGAAAGACAGGCAGTGTCCTCCTAAGGAAGGACTCACTACACTACCAACAATTTATGCAGTGAATCTTACTCCCATCCTTCCGCAAGGAGACCTCTGGCCTTTTACCAGGGTAACTGTGCACTGGGGAAAGGGAAATGATCAGACATTTCTGGGACTAGTGCACACTGGCTCTGAGCTGACATGGATTTCAAGGGACCCAAAGCATCATTGTAATCCTCCACTTAAAGTAGGGCTTTACAGAGGTAAGATAATTAATGGAGTTTTACCTTAAGTCCAACTTACAGTGAGTACAGTGAGTCCCCAAACTCATCCTGTGGTCATTTCCCCAGTGCCAGAATGCATTATCGGCATAGGCATATTTAACAGTGGGCAGAACCCCCACATTGGCTCCCTAGCTGGTAGGGTTAGGGGTATTATGGTGGTGAAGGGTAAATGGAAGCAATTACAGCCGCCTCTATCTAGAAAAACAGTAACTCAAAAAAAAAAAAAAAAAAAATATTGCATCCCTGGAGGGATTGCAGAGATTTGTGCCACCATCAAGGACTTGAAAGACACAGGGGAGATGATTCCCACCACAATATCCCCATTCAACTCTCCCATTTGGCCCATGCGGAAGACAGAGAGAGCTTGGAGAATGACAGTGGATTACCACAAGCTTAACCAAGTAGTGACTCCAATTGCAGCTGCTGTACCAGATGTGGTTTCATTGCTTGAGCAAGTTAACGCATCTCCTGGTACCTGGTATGCAGCCATTGACTTGGCTAATGTTTTTATCTCCATTCCTGTCCATAAGGTCCACCAGAAGCAATTTGCCTTCAGCTGGAAAGACCAGCAATATACCTTTACTGTCCTACCTCAAGGGGAATATTAACTCTCTGGCTTTGTGTCATAATCTTATTGGGAGAGACCTTGATCACTTTGCACTTCCACAAGATATCACACTGGTCCATTACATTGATGACATTATGCTGACTGGATCTAGTGAGTGCGAAATAGCAAACACACTGGATTTATTGGTGAGACCTTTGCATGCCAGAGGATGGGAAATAAACCCAACTAAAATTCAGGGAACTTCTATCTTCAGTAAAATTTCTAGGGCTCCAGTGGTGTGGGACCTGTTGAGATATTTCTTGTAGGGTGAAAGATAAGTTGCTGCATTTAGCCCCTCCTACAACCAAGAAAGAAGAACAATGCCTAGTGGACCTATGTGAATTTTGGAAGCAACACATTCCTCTTTTGGGTGTGTTACTCCAGCTCAATTATCGAGTGACCTGAAAGGCTGCCAGTTTTGAGTGGGGTCCAAAACAGGAGAAGGCTCTGTAACAGGTACAGGCTGCTGTGCAAACTGCTCTGCCACTTGGACCATATGTCCCAGCAGATCCAGTGGTGCTTCATGTGTCAGTGGCAGATAGGGATGCTGTTTGGAGCCTCTGACAGGCCCCCATAGATGAATCACAATGAAGGCCTCTAGGATTTTGGAGCAAGGTCCTGCCATCTTCTGCAGATAACTACTCTCCTTTTGAGAGACAGCTCTTGGCTTTTTGCTGGGCTTTGGTGGAAACTGAATGTTTGACTATGGGTCATTAAGTCACCATGTGACCTGAACTACCTATCATGAACTGGGTGCTTTCTTATACACCTAGCTATAAAATGGGTCGTGCACAGCAGCATTACATCATCAAATGGAAGTGGTATATATGTGATCAGACTCGAGCAGGTCCTGAAAGCACAAGTAAGTTAAATGAGGAAGTGGCTCAAATGCCCATGGTCTACACTCCTATGACCCTGCATTCTCTCCCCCAGCCTGCAACAATGGCTTCATGGGGAGTTCCCTATGATCAGTTAACAGAGGAAGAGAAGACTAGGGCCTGTTTCACAGATGGTTCTGCACGATATGCAGGCACCGCCCGAAAGTGGACAGCTGCAGCACTACAGCTCCATTGTAGGACATCCCTAAAGGACAGTGGTGAAGGGAAATATTCCTAGTGGACAGAACTCCAAGTAGTGCACCTGGTTGTGCACTTTTCATGGAAGGAGAAATGACCAGATGTGAGATTATATACTGATTCTTCGGCTGTAGCCAATGGTTAGGCTGGATGGTCAGGTTCTTGGAAGAAGCATGATTGGAAAATTGGTGACAGAAATTTGGGGAAGAGGTATGTGGATGGACTTCTCTGAATGGTCAAAAACCATGAAGATATTTGTATGTGAGTGCTCACCCATGTGTGACCTCAGCAGAGGAGAGGCCTCATAATCCAGTGGATAGGATGACCCCTTCTGTGGGCACCACTCAGCCTCTTTCCCCAGCCACCCCTGTCATCACCCAGTGGACCCATGAACAAAGTGGCCATGGTGGCAGGAATGGAGGTTATGCATAGGCTCAGCAATATGAACTTCCACTCACCAAGTCTGATCTGGCTATGGCCACTGCTGAGTGCCCAATTTTCCATCAGCAGAGACCAACAATAAGCCCTCGATATGGAGCCATTTCTCAGGGTGATCAGCCAGCTACCTGGTGGCGGGTTGATTATATTGGGCCTCTTCCCATCATAGAAAGGGCAGGGGTTTGTCCTCGCTAGAATAGACACTTACTCCGGATATGAATGTGCCTATCCTGCATGCAATCCTTCTGCCAAGACTACCATCGCTGGAATCACAGAATGCCTTATCCACTATCATGGTATTTCACACAGCATTGCCTCTGACCAAGACACTCACTTTACAGCTAAAGGATTATGGCAGTGGGCTCATACTCATGAAATTCACTGGTCTTACCATGTTCCCTATCATCCTGAAGCAGCTGGATTGATAGAACAGTGGAATTGCCTTTTGAAGTCACAATTACAATGCAAACTAGGTGACAATACTTTGCAGGGCTGGGGCAAATTTTCTCCCATAGCCAGGATTCCTGGGTTTAGAAATCAAGGGTTGGAAGTGGAAGTGACACCACTCACCATCACCCCTAGTGACCCACTAGTGAAATTTTTGCTTCCTATTCCCATGGCATTACATTCTGCTGGGCTAGAGGTCTTAGTTCCAGAGGGAGGAACGCTGCCACCAGGAGACATAACAACGATTCCATTAAACTGGAAGTTAAAATTGCCAGTTGGTACCTTTGGGCTCCTCCTACCTTTAAGTCAAGAGACTAAGAATCCCAGCACTTTGGGAGGCTGAGGCGGGCGGATCACGAGGTCAGGAGATCGAGACCATCCCGGCTAAAACGGTGAAACCCCGTCTCTACTAAAAATACAAAAAATTAGCCGGGCGTAGTGGCGGGCGCCTGTAGTCCCAGCTACTTGGGAGGCTGAGGCAGGAGAATGGCGTGAACCCAGGAGGCGGAGCTTGCAGTGAGCCGAGATCGCACCACTGCACTCCAGCCTGGGTGACAGAGCAAGACTCCGTCTCAAAAAAAAAAAAAAAAAAAAAAGAGACTAAGGAGGGACTTACAATGTGGGCTGGGGTGATTGACCCGAACTATCAAGGCGAAATCAGTCTTCTACTCCACAACGGAGGTAAGGAAGAGTATTTGTGAAATACAGGAGATCCATTAGGGTGTCTCTTAATGTTACCATGCCCTGTGATTAACGTACCTACACCATCCCAATCCAGGCAAGACTACAAATGGCCCAGACCCTTGAGGAATGAAGGTTTGGGTTACTCCACCAGGAAAAAAACCATGATCTGATGAGGTGCTTGCTGAAGGCAAAGGGAATACAGAGTGGATAGTAGAAGAAGCTAGTCATCAATACCAGCTATGACCACATGACCAGCTGCAGAAACGGGGACAGTTATTGTCATAAATATTTCCTCCTTCTTTTGTTAAAAACATGTTTGTGCATGTATACACTTGTACTGAGAAAATATTTTCACTTAATTTCTTTTTTCCTTTATCATGTGACATAAGATTTATTGACTTCATATCAGCATTTAAGTATCATAAACTTTATGTAATAGCATTTGGGTTTGGGATTGGTGCGTTTCCGGTTGTAGGAAGGATAGTTGTAATATGTTAGGCATAATTATGACCTTATTGTTGTCTTTATTTGAAGATTATGCATCATCTCAGGAGATGCCTATGTGTTCTAGTTGACAAGGTGTGGACTCGTGATGGTTATTACTGAGTGTGAACTTGATTGGATTGAAGGATGCAAAGTAGTGATCCTGGATGTGCCTGTGACGGTGCTGCCAAAGGAGATTAACATTTGAGTCAGTGGGCTGAGAAAGGTAGACCCATCTTTAATCTGGGTGAGCACAATCAGATCAACTGCTAGAGCAGCTAGAATATAAAGCAGGGAGAGAAATGTGAAAGACTAGACTGGCCTAGCCTGCCAGCCTACATCTTTCTCCCATGCTGGATGCTTTCTGCTCTCGAACATCGGACTCCAGGTTCTTCAGTTTTGGGACTTGGATTGGCTCTCATTGCTCCTCAGCTTGCAGACGACCTATTATGGGACCTTGTGATCATGTGAGTTAAAACTTAATAAACTCCCCTTTCTATCTATTTATCTATCTGTCTGTCTATCTATCTATCTATCTATCTATCTATCTATCATCTATCTTATTAGTTCTGTCCCTCTAGAGAACCCTAACTAATACAATCTGCTTTTCTAGTTCTCATTGAGGTAATTATTTGACTATAAGCTACTTGATGGTAATAGAATTAAAAATAACTCAGTTTTAAAAATACTGAATATGTAGTTTGTAATATTTAGGATACATTATAACACATTATATGATCTTTATTACAGATTTCACTTAGAAAAATCTGTTTCATATGTTGCTAAAGTTCTTAGACATTTCTTTTACTACTGATTTTTAAAAAATGCAATATAAATCTTTTATCCACTACCCACTCCCAGAATATAATGAGTCCTCTAGATTTTTTTATCTGATTTTTTTTTAAGTTCAAAAAAGCATAGTTTAATTTTACTGGTATTTGCACTACTCTCTGGGTCTTCTAGTTTTCCATGGAGTTATGTCTATGCTTTTATTATATATAGCTTAGTTGCCTCTCTTATTATCTTTATTTTTCAATTTCTCTGCATTTTTAAGTATATTTCACATTTTGTGTATGTATTATCTATATCCCCCTATATATTTTTTCTGACATGGAAATTTTAATAGTTTTATTTAGTCTGTCATTTTTATGATATTATACTTTTATTTGATATTTATATTTATTTATGAGTTTATTTTTTCCCATGGCTCACAAGCTTGTAGAAAACATTTAATTTGTAACCTGATTCTTTCTAACATGTTTCTCTAACTTGTGCAATAAAGATATTTTCTATAATTTTCTTTGTATGTTTTTGTCACTAATTTTCACAATGCTAAATGTTTCCTTGGTCTTATTTTTGAGACTTATGTTTTACTTATCATTGTTATATTCAAGAATATATCCACATATGCAATCTCTTTATTCCTCTTTTCTATCTGAGTTCAGGAAATTCTCTCCACATTTTAAACTGGAGTAGATGTACATATTTCATGAATTATTTTTTAGCTAATGTAAAACAATTGCAGTGTTTGTGTGTGTGTGTGTGTGTGTGTGTTTGTACAAATAATGTGAACATAATGAGATTCATCAATAGCTTAATAATTTGAAATCAACAATTATTTATTAATTATTTTAATGTATTAATGCATAAAAATATTATAATGGCAAATTATATATTTTACTTATTTTAACCAGATAGTTCACCATATTTATGTTAGTATTATGGTTGTTTAGCTATACATTTCATTAGAGTTACATTAATTTTTTCATGACATGAAATTAAGACAAATTAACTCCAACTATTACTAAGCAGGCGTTTCTTTATATTAAATTGCTATGTATGTACCTTTAATAATTATAATTTAAAATTGAGAAGAACTTATATTATTTTTATTTGTTACCACAAGGTATAAATTTCCATTTTTCTATGCTTAGATAATGTTTTAAATTATGGAGATGAAATTTAAAATGTAATGTGATACTGCAAAAAATATATTTCTTTACTATTACACAAAATTCCAGTCTTATAGATTGAATACTTGAGATTGGAAGAAATGCAAATATATAGCATATAATTATTCTATAAGCATGCTAACATTAATTTTACTCTCACAAACAGGGCTTCTTGGAGAGAAGAAAAATACTGCGCTAGACAAACTAAATTTCAGTGAAAAATAATTGACTGAGGAAAGTGGTGAGGATCCTGCAACAACATACTGCATTAATGGCTTCCTCTCACCTCAAAATGCAACTTCAATTTCTAGCGATACAAGAGGTAATCTAATTCCCAAGATTTAGTGCCTTTTTTACCTACTTTAATTCTTTCTTATTTGCATTCTCTCTTCATTACAGATACGTATTTATCGTTCACACTCTGTGATCCCTCCACCCAAAGATCCTAGACTATGAATGGGTCTTAGGGTACTAAAAACATGTCATGGAAATCTAATGGAACATTGGAGACTTCAGACAATAAATATTTTTTATTTATAAATTCAACCTGTAACATACATTGTTCAACTGCAAAAAATAAATAATAACTGATTTTTCAATGAATTTAGTATTGAGGCTCTAAATAGCAGCAATTCTCAGAAAACTACATAATAGTCCATCTCTGAGAATAAAGAAAGATCATTATCTAGCAACTATTAGTTTAAGTTAATAGAAAGAATGAAAGAGAAAGAGAGGAAGAAAGAGAGAAGGAAGGAGAGAAAAGAGATGATGAGTAGTAAGGAAGTACAGAAAAAAAGAGGGAAAAGAAAGGAGGAAATTGTAAGACAAATTTCAAATCAAAATATACTAGTACGATCAGAAATTTAAGTCTTACCTTAAGCCTATATACAGAATAAAGACAAAGAAGAACATATTTGCATGTATCTTTATGCAAATTTTATAAATCATTTATAATTTCAAGCTCTAGGGTCAATGAGAACTACTTAGGAAAATATGTTATTATGTATTAAGTTATATGCCAACCAAAAATACAAGTAAAATAAATAGAAATCTGTTAAATCAGTGTTTTAGTGAACCTCAAATAACAATATTTGTATTTTTATAGGATTTTTATGTAAATTGCTTTGTCATTCCCCTTATAGATTATCATGCTGAAATATCAAAAACAGTGTCAAAGTTAAAGTTACATCCTAAATTATTGTCCAGCTCTTCATCAATAAGTTTATTTAGCTTCTTCAGGCATAATCATTCTATATAGAATCAGAAATAAGATAAAATTATTAATTATTACAATACCTATCGCCAAATTAGTTTTGCAATATGCTGAAATCATTAAGAATCGCATAGCTTTAGTACCTATGTCATACACAAAATTTAATAGGCCAGTAAACATGTTATTTGATGTATATATTAGCAAACAAAGAGTTTGATTTAAATTAAACTAACAGTGCAATTTAAAAATTACTAAGACATGAACTGAGCACTGAAAGATAAAGACATAAAATATTTCTGTATCTTATTTCTAAACATAGAGCATAATTTAAAAATATTTTCTTGATTAAAACCAGTGTATGGAAATAGACTTAATATAAATCCTTTCATTAATATATCACGTATATTATTTCATATTCTATTAATTAGCTTTTAGTACATAACGGTTATTGGACCCAAATATTTTGCCTTGAATCTAATGTCTTAAAACAACAACCATTTATTCAGCTCATGATTCTATGGTTGTCAATTTGGCTGTACTCAGCTGAGAAGTGCTTCTGGTGATCTGGACTGGGCTCAGTCATGCATTTGTACTCAGTTGCCAACCATCTACCAGCAAGGTGTCATCAATTGATGAAGCAAGCTTGCCCAGGCTGGATTATACAATTGTGGAAAGGTCCCAGATACAGCAAGATACGTTTCATGGCCAACCTCAGAGTCAGCGTAGGAGGGTACTACCAAAGGCATAGGATCAGAGAGAGGAACAACTTATGGCTGTACTAGTATTCTAACACATGTGTGCTCTGTCTTATTTGAAAGTCGTCTTGTGTACGCTCTTCCCCAATTTGAATAAAAGTGTACCCCTCTAAGAGGACATCAAAGGCCTGCTTCCCAAAACTTGTTTCAGGTTCTGAACAATGAACAACTGTGTCCTCTGCTAAACACATAGTTATTAAAGTACAGTTATATTCTCTGATAAATAATAGTCATGTTCAATGCTAAATATGATGGGACATGAAATTTATTATATTTAGTGTAAAGTATTTTTAATAGGTAAAAGTTATAGGGAATATTTTAATCGACAACTATGTACTTCTCTTTCAGCTCAAGAAAATACTATGAATAAAATAAAAAGGAGGCCTCTGTTTCACTGAAAACGTCTCCCTCATGAAGAGATATCATTACACCAATTTTGAGTTTTATTATTCTCATTCATGTCTTCATATATGTATAGAATGTGCATATCCTATTATATCTCAGTACAAAATTGTCAAAATTGAATATATTAATTGCAAAATTCTCTATATTCTTACACAAGCCTTCCTTTTCACTAAATTTTTGTTAGATTGATCCTTGTTAATAATGTAGTGCTAATGCATTGGTAATCACTGTTGAATTCTATTCGATTTTATGAGTAGATAGCACCATATGCATTTCCCTGTGGATGAATGTTATTATGCAAAGAGTGATTAGACACTGTGTGTGTCCCTAATTTTAAAAACAAATGAACAGTTTATACTGGTTGAATTAATTAGAGCTAGATAATTTATGTTATTGTTAATGTTAGTCATCATGTTTTTGAATGAAATCAATATCTTACATAAACCTAGACTATGATAATGAGTGTATATATGAAAACTCATGGCAAAATTCAACATTTCATAGATTTTCTCGTATATATAGTGTTCAGTTTTATATTTAAGTCTAAAATTCATTTTGAATTAATTTTTGTATAAAGAAAGTCATAAATTAATCTTTTTGTTTGTGGATATTTGTTTCACCACCATCAGCTGAATAAACAAGTTTCTTCATTGAATTGCCTTTGCACCTTTTTTATAAATCACTCTATTTGTGTGGGTATTTCAGACTCTCTATTCTGTTTTATTGATATATGCATATCTATACTTTCACCAATACTATACTGTCTTAATTACTATCTTAAATAGTTATCTTGATTACTGTCTAAATTACTTAATTACTAAATTTTCAAATTGAGTAACTTTTAACTTTGTTCTTTTTATAATTGTTTGGTCCATTACAGTTTCTTTTTTGCTTTGAATAAATTTTGAATTCACCTTTTTGGGATACTGAATTGCATTAGATCTATAAATCAAATAATGGGTAATTAACATCATAACAATATCAAGTCTTCCAATGCATGAATATAGTATATCTCTTGAGTTATTTAGATCATCTTTGATTCTACCATCAAGGCTTTACAGCTTGTAACAAATGTGTATTTCACATATTCTGTTAGATTTAGGCAAAACTATTTTATTTTGGGGGGACTATTGCATTTTGAAAATTCCAATAACTAGTGAGCAGTGCTAGCATATTACGATTAACTTCTATATGTAGATGTTTTATACCACAACATTTCTAAACTCATAAATTCTAGAAAAGTTTGACATATTTTGCAGGATTTTCTACATAAAAATTATGTAATCTGCAAATACAGACAATTTTGTTTCTTTATTTCTATTCTTTTTCCAGCCTTTTTGCACTGTCTAGGACTTCCATTTGTTAAATTAAAAAAAAAAAAAAAAAAAAAGGACCCGGTGCAGTGGCACTCTCGCCTGTAATCCCAGCACTTTGGGAAGCCGAGGTGGGTGGATCACTTGAGGTCAGGAGTTCGAGACCAGCCTTGCCAACATGGTGAAACACTGTCACTATCTGCTAAAAATACGAAAAGTAGATGGGCGTTGTGGTGTACGCCTGTAATCCCAGCTACTCGGGAGCCTGAGGCAGGAGAATCGCTTGAACCCGTTGAGGAGGAGGTTGCAGTGAGCCACCATCACACCACTGCACTCCGGCCTGGGCGACAGGGTGAAATTCCGTCTCAAAAAAAAAAAAAGTCATCAGAGAAAATTATCTCCAAATATGTTGAATTTATCTGGGAATAAGCAAAGAGGATTATAATCTGGGATGCTTGGCCACGGCAAGCCACTGGTGCATCCAGAGAGAGAAAAGTAAAGGGAAGCTTGTATGGGCTTAAGGGAGAAGTTTACATAAGAGGTTCGGAATCAAAGCTGACTGGTTTCATAGACTCAGAGTCAGAGTTGTCAGTTTATTAGTGGAGATGCTGTTACTGGGCAAGTATTATTTTGAGAACATCTAATCTGAATTGCTGTGTCCTACTAAATATTTATAGAAAACTCTTGCCATAGACACATGTCCATAGGTGTGAAACGTGCAAGCAGGAGATGTGTGAAGGACATGAAGGGATTTCGTGTGAGGCTTTTAGAGAGTCCTTGGAAACAGTTATTTCAGACACGTAAGCATGAGTCCCCCTCCTTCATGCCTTTCTGACCGTATTTTTTCTGGGTCTGACTAGTGACTTTATCCTCATAGCTGTAACTTTTATACAGTATGATTTTGAAGACGAGTAGGGAGAATTAACATCCTTGATTTTTTCAGAAACTTACGGGGTGTATTAGTCTGCTAGAGCCGCCATAACAAAAGACCACAGACTAAGAGGCTTAACCAACAGAAATTTATTTTTGCATAGTTCTGGAGCCTGGAATTCCAAGATCAAGAGGGTGACAGGTTTGGTTTCTCCCAAGACCTTTCACTATGTCTTGCAGAAGGCTACTTTCTTGCTATGACCTCACATGGCCTTTTTTTTTGCATGGGCATTGCTGGTGTCTCTCCCTTATAAGAACATCGGTCATGTTAGATGAAGACCCCAGCCTTATGACCTTTAAAGATTTATCTTCAAACACAATCACATTGGGGTTTAGGGCTTCAACATATGACTTTTGAGGGGAGAACACTCAGTCCATAACAGTGGGAGAGTATTCACTGTGTCACTATTAAGCGAGATGGTAGCTGTAGATTGTAGTAGATACCCATTATTAGATAAGGGCTAGGAACGAACATTCCTATTTTACTGAGAGATTTTATCATGGATGGGTTTGAATCTGAATGAGTGTTTTTTTTCTGCATCTATTGGGATAATCATACAATTTAATTTTCTTATTTAGTCTGCTAATATGGTGAATGACATGGATTGATTTTTGATTGTAGAACAACCTTTGTATTCCTGAGATGAACTCCATAGTCATAGGGTATTATCATTTTATGTAATGCTATTATAGGTTAAATTTGCTAACATATTATTAAGGATATTCACATCTATTTCCATGAGAGATATTAGTCTGGAAACATTATCTTCATTTCAATGTTTTCGTTGGTTTTGGTATGTGACAGTCGCTCTCTAAGAAAGTCCCTAATGATTGCCATGTACTGGTATTTATTGTCTAGGGCAAGCCCCTCCCCTTAAGTAATGTGCCTCTAATAGAACAGAGCAACACTGAGGGATGTTGTATCTGTTATTTGGTTACAAAAAATATGACATCCATAGTACCAACAGATTCTCTTTAATGCTGGTTCTAATGAAGCAAACTCTCATGTTTGAGCCCCATTTGGCAAGAAACTGTAGGTGTCCTCTGGAAATTTTAATGAAAATGTTATTACAACTTTTACAAGTTGACAATAAAGTGTAATAGGAAATAAGTAATAATAGTTAATAAAATCCTGTAAAATAAGACACGGAGAATCATGAAAAACAAATTTCAAAAAATATTAAGGAAACAAATATTATGAGATGTATACATTTAAAATATGGCAAATTTAGTATTTTGATCACTGGTGGAGAGTCTGTAATATACAGTGCTTTATATTTAATGGATTGTCTTATAATTTAAGCAAGTACATTTAATTTTACTTTATATACAATGCAACTTATAGATTAAAAACCTAAAAGAAACATAAAATATTAAAAAAGTATTGGGGACAATTTTCTTGGTATGAAACCAAGAAATAATTTTGAGATTACAAACTACCACTGGAGAACAGTTTCTATTAAGAAAAAGCTACATGTTACATTTGAAATAGTATTTGTGACACGTATTAAATTAAAAATATATCCAAAAGCAACATGACAACCACAAAGAGATAATAGTATATGTTTAAATAATACATAAAGGCAATTTATACCAGAAAAAAGGGAAATAAACATAGGTAAAGAGGTAAAATGTGATAAAAATAGGGACATTGAAATCAATGCACTCACTTTATTTTAATTTTTGATTTTCCTTTTAGAAAATAGTAAAAATATTTTGTTAAATGTTAATAATGACTATTTTTGGAGAAACACACCCTATAACAGACTTAATGAGATTTACAATTTCTAACCCATACCTCAAGGGGAATTTGGCAATACTTACTTATTTGTAACATGCACATAACTTTGACAATATGAATATGAATAGATATGCAATATTAGATTAAAATTATTTCTAGTTGAGGAAATAATAAATTTACATGGCGATTTCCATCATATAATGATTTTCTTGATTCCGTTCATCAACTAGGACAAAGGGATGTTATTAAACAAGTTTTTATAAACCAATGGCTTAAGGATTTGTTTAGGTTTAATTTCTAGTTATCTCATTTATTTCTAAAATATCCTCTAATTCCTTCCCCCATTCTCCTCTTTCTTACATTTATCTCTTAAGTCCTTTCATACTATTATAAATGAAGAAAAGGAGATTCAAGGAGTTATGAGCCTTACCCAAGGTCATAGACTTTAATATGTGTCAGAAACAAATGTAAATTTAAGCATAGCTAACTATAAAACCAGCAATCTATCTGATATAATAGAAAGGACTAATTCTGGCTAATAATAATCTACTTATGAGAGTAATAGTAAGGTGATATTTTTCTTCAAGTTTGCAGATATCATACAAAATTTTCATGCCTAGTATTGTTTAAAATACTTGAAATATAGCAGTGTATATACAGAACCAGAACAAGTATGCACTTAATATGTTTTTAGTTTTCATAGAAAGAGTATGTCACATTTTGTTTAACACACTAGAACAATTGTTGTTAAATCACTTCCATACCAGAGACCCTATGTGGTAGTGATTTGTGAATCATTACGTTTATTCATTAAGTAATTTAAAAGTGCTTTTTATTTTTTCTATAAAACTCATTTATAAAACCATTTTATAAAAACAGAGTTTCATAATTACTACAACATTTAACCCTTATACAAATTTTGAGGGTAGTCAAACCAGGAATTACTTTCTGAGGAGTAAATTAAGGTTCAGAGCTCTTGAGCTTCCATTTTTACTACCTGGTGGTGTGGGCACACAAATACCAGTCATTGAATGCCCTATCAGCTTTCTTACCATTTGTGTGTTTCTCCTGAATGTCATCTACAGATGTTAGCAAATAAGATACTGATAACTTAAAAAAAAAACCTACCCAAGACAAACTAAAATTTGTCTTGGGTAGACAAGGGAAAGAACCATGTCGAACCTCTATCACTCACATATGATTCAATCCTTTATTTCAGAGTTTTATTGATTTTAATTTTTCAAATTATCTAGAAGTAGTCTTGTAGATAGATATATTTTGAACTTCTTGTAAAAACTGTGGCCTTCTTTTTATACTGTTGGTTTTTTGATCATTTACATGGTTGCTTTATGTAGTACAATATCTAAAATAAATAAATAATATTCATTTATTTTTGTCTGAGAAGAAAAAAGTAGAGAAAAAGTGAATTTTTTTAAGTATCCCTTTGGAATGATCCTCTTTTAAGTCAAGTAGAAAAAAGCTCTTTTCCATTCCACTAACATGTTTAACCATTAGATTCTGTGTAGCTATGAGTCATTACCTTAAGGTTTATTTTCCTAAACATCAAACTCATAGGCAAAACTCAAAGCAAGATGCATTCTTCTAAATATATATATATAAATAACATTTCTAGGATTTTAAAAATACTAGAAAAGCAGCAATATAACTGTCTAGTTAACTCAATTCTACTCCATTTCTTTAGTTAGCATTTTCAAACTATTTCTAAGTTTATTATTTGCACCTGCATGTAAATCACACGGTTATTCACCTGAACAGCTTCTTTTGGATAGCTTCCCAGATTGAAGCCATTTATACACAAAATTGCCTTTTTGGCAGAAGTTCTAAGTGAAGTAAATAGTCTTGATTGGTCGGTACATAAAACCCACAAATGTACAGTTAGGAAAGGAAGAGTCTGTACTGTAATTGTCCAAAAAGCAGTGCGTGGCAGTTGTTAAATGAAGTATTTTTATTGGATATTTCTATACTAAGAAGAAGACAAGATTGCAGTTTTCATTTAGTGAATGGAATAAATTCAACCCTTGTAATTTCCCATTCACTTGAAGATCTTTGTTGCCATAGTGCCATTAGAGTGATACTCCACATTGATTTGTATTACTGCAGCTGAACCTCACCAGGCTTTTAGGAGCTACATAAGTGCTTACTGACTCTGTTTCATATTTGTATATTTACAATTATACCATAGCTTCTTTTTATCTAGGATAAGTGAGAAAGACTGTATCAGGCTACTAATGAAGAGTATTAACATATATTATACATTGTAGTTAAAAGCAAAGGCTTTCAAGTATTTGGATTCAAATCTTGCTCAAAAGGTGCAATCATGGGCAAGTTCAAGGGCAACTTACCTGATCTCTACAGGATTCAGATTCTTCAGCCTTTACGACAAGTAAAAATTAAGGGCATGGCTAATAGGGTAAGTGTGAGGAGCAAATGAGGCAACAGGTGAAAATAATTAATAAATGATATGAGGTAATAAGTGAAAATAATTAATAAATGATCTGTAATATGTGTTTCTCTTTGTGATAGTAGTAGTAGGTTAATATTAGCATTATTTAAATTCATTTAAATCTTTTGATGTTAACATTATAATAATTTTAAAATATAGTACTAATCTTTATTTTATGATTAAAGAAAATTAAGTCCAGGGACATTGAGTCACCCCTTACTTGTCAAGTAGGAAAAGCAAACCCCAAAGAAAGAAGTCTATTTTTCTATTGCATGTGATTTAATATAAGAATAAGCATTCGATATTTGAGGCCTTATTTTTCCAAATAAACGTTCTTTCAGGTTCTTGTAATGCCTTAGTTTTATCATTCTCAGCACCAGTTATCATTCTTAAGTCCTATAATAGGACTGAACTTTTTACTTAGGTATTTTGTGCTTTAGGTTGTAAAGGCCATATACTATACTTAATCTTAAATATGAGGTTATTTAGTTACTTCTTTCCCATTAAATCACAACAGAAAATTTGATTTAATAACCAGCAGAAGTTGTATGTGATACTGAAAAGAATTTCTCATACAATAAAACCTAAATAATAAAAAAATACATAAATAACCATAGTAATAAAATTGGCTTTTCTCAACTGAGCATATTTATTACTTTTTAAAATAGGAAGTCAACAGTAGCATGAAATATGAGACATATTATCAGTAGAAAAATTATTCAAAATTTTTAATTTGAAAGAAATATTGCTAAATATTATTCTTGCCCACTGAAAATTTTGTATACTAAAAATATGCTCATTTTCAATATTTTCTTGAGTTAAATATGTATCCCTAAATTGCTGAACAATTTAATTTACTCATTTATTTATTAATACATATTTAAGATAATGCTATATTTAAAACTGTTAAACACACACAAAAAAACAAATCTGGTTGAAAGGATCTTACAATTTTCTTGAAAAGGTATCTATATTGACAGTTATGAAAACATTATAATTTATAAAATTATAAAATATGCATTAAAGAATGCAGAATTTTAAAAGAATCAAATTCTTCAGTGTTATGAAATAGAACACAAAGATAGATAAAAAACAAATAGTATGTAATTGGCAGAAAATAAGGAGCAGAACAGTGAATTGCTGGAGGAAACACATCATGAAGATGTTCTAAATAATCTCTATTGCCACAAAGGGAAAAGATTCTCACTTTCTGTGATTTGTCAGGAGAGTTTCAGTACTAGAGTCAGATAAATTTGATTATAACTGTAGAGCCAAAAGCTGCTAGTGTATAATACTGGGCTTCTATTGCATCGTCAGTAAAATAGAGATAACATTCACCTTATTGAGCTGCTCAGATGATTACATAAAGTAACACATTAAAGTATCAGAAGTCTATTAATTGAAAATTTTAGGGAATTTTAATCTCCTGTTCAATAATTCCTGAAGAAATATGTTACAGATGATGGAAGAGAGAAATACAGGGAAAATACAATTCAGCTTTTGAAGACTTTGAGGAAAGATACAACAGTTTCAGAGAGAACAGACATTTTTCCTATTCATCTTTACCCATAGTAGCTAATCATACAGGCAGAGTCTGTTTTACAAATTTTAGTCTTTGTAAGTCTTTCAGTCTTATATTAGTGGAAGACACAGACTTTAGTAAATTATCCAATTGAAACATGCCCTGCGCGGCCGGGCGCGGTGACTCACGCCTGTAATCCCCCAGCACTTTGGGAGGCCGAGGCGGGCGGATCACAAGGTCAGGAGATAAGAGACCATCCTGGCTAACATGGTGAAACCCTGTCTCTACTAAAAACACAAAAAAGTTAGCCGGGCATGGTGGCGGGCGTGGTGGCGGGCGCCTGTAGTCCCAGCTACTCGGAGAGGCTGAGGCAGGAGAATGGCGTGAACCCGGGAGGCGGAGCTTGCAGTGAGCCTAGATCGTGCCACTGCACTCCAGCCTGGGCAACAGAGCAAGACTCTGTCTCAAAAAAAAAAAAAAAAAAAAAAAAGGAAAGAAAAAAAAGAAAGAAACATGCCCTGCGCAAAAGTGAAGAGGTACACTGAATTAGGAGACCCTCCCTAAAAGAGGATATATCACAGGGGATTTAGAGATTAATTTCTTGAGAAGGGAAGGCTTGTTCTGATATGTGAAGAATGGGAAAGAGCGAACCATGTGTAGAGGAGAATATAAAGAAATCTTCTTACAGGAAAAATCTCTCTAACAGAAGAATGATGATAAGTAGAAGAGAATGGGAAAGAGGCCATCATGACTGAAATGGAAAAATCAATGGATAAGACAGGGAGGAAGAGAGAAAGAGAAGAGAGAGAGAGGAAAGGGCTAATTTCAAGATCTTTCAGGATAATGCAAGTAATATTTGAAGGAAGATGAGTTGCTCAGATTTGCATGTTAGGAAGTGTTCTGCAATTTCAAGAACTGATTAGTATGGGGAAGGTGCGATAAAACTGAATGGTAGTAGATCACTTGGAAATTTAGATAATTATTTTAGAAAATATAATTTTGTCCTAATTGAAGTGTTATGATTGACTAAGTTATTGCTGACCAATAATACTCGTTTAATTTGTGGGGGATAATTAAACTTCTTTTTACAGCCTGGTTCATACCTGTGACAAATTTTGACCACGGAATTATATGTGAAAATGTCACTTAATAGAAGAAGCAGCTAAAAGGGCCAGTATTTGCTCTTTTCTCACTGTCGGGAGACCAACAATATTCCAGTTAGAGAATACTCTATCAACTGTGTCTCTGAATTAGGACAACATAGAGCAAGGCTGAAGCCAACCTGAAATTACCATATAGTACAGGAGAGTTAAATTTTAAGCCACTGACATTTTGCAGTCATTGTTACTGGCATACATTATCCTGATTGATACAGTAGAAACATTGCACATGAAGATAAGTGATCCAATTTGAGGGATATTTCTCATGTAAAATGGATTAACATCATGATGGATTGGATAAAAGGTCTGTATCAGAGAGAGGTGTGAAGTTAAACTCCATCTGGTTTCACAATTGAGAACCAGATGGATGGAGATGACTGAGCTTAGATAGAAAAGAGAAGAAGATATGAATTATTGATCAGAATTAATTCTAGATCTCTATTCCTTAAGACTATTACTTGCAGTTATCTTTATTATCTTATTCCAGCGTTAGTATCAATCCCGTTGAGTAATCATTAAACATAAAAGATCTTCTGGTGTCAAAGAGATTTTTGGACATGATAGTCATATTCACGAGTATAATGAGTGAAGGCACCTGTGGCCATGCAAATATTATCTTGGTTAAGAATTTCTCTTTCCAGAATGAAAGCTAAAGGTTTCAGAGCTCTAATATATTTTCAATAGATAATGTCTTGAATGATGTTTCCTGTTGAATTCATGGGATATGAGTGTCACATGCTGAATGACAGTATTGGGCATGAATCATACTCGAATGTCTTCTCTTCAATGTTTTCTTTTTAGCATTAACTATTATAATTGTAACCTTTTGAAGAAGAGGAGTATTTCTAAATAATTCAACTTTTTACACAACTCATTACTGGCACTTCATATAGTCTCTAAGATACGCCAACCATCAGTAATAGCTTCTGCTATTACTGAAAATATTTTATTTTAATTTAATTAAAAATAAATAAAAATATTTGTTCTTCAAATAGCATTTTTCTTTATATTATCTACTTTTTCCATACTTACAATCTGTACTATAATCCACCTTTAGCTGAGGGAAGCAAGGGTGGACATTGATTTTGATATTGTATGGTTCATAAGAGTACAGAATTGTTGTAAACACTAGTCTGTAGCCTTATCTTTACATGAGAATAGAATCGTTTTTACTCCCCTAAGTGGACGTGCCCATTCATTAATTATACTGTAAGCGATTCATAGAGAGATGAAAACAGCAGACTGAACATGTGCATGTATTTTGCTTAAACCTGATTCATAGTTAATTATGAAATTAGAACTTCTTAAAGTGATTTCATGATGTGATTGAGCAGTGTAAAATGTAGTGCTCATATAGATACATATATAAAGGAAATGTAATAGGACATTCTTAGCAGATCAATCCATGAATACACTTTTTAAATACATATATACTTCTGTTTAGCACTAGAGTGCTAAATAATTGAGTTTATAAATGAGATTTTCATTTCACTGTGAAAAAAAATTCAACTTCAGAATGTCATGGGTCTCTTTTATATGCATTCTTTTAGACAATATCATCCATTCTTTCCAAATTGAAGACAATTTGTAATATAAAAGATAAAGTTTGGCAAATGTAGTATCAATGTGTTGCTGAACCAATTTACTTTTGTTGAAAATGCCTAGATTGGATTTACTGATTATTAATAATTCTGTAAATGTTTCATTAATTTACTTGCACTTTTATGACACCCTCTAAAATATCTCTGATCTTATCCACAACATGATGCTCCCGTTTTAAACAAACTGCATTCCACTAATGGAAACAGAGCAATCCTTTTTTTCAGTCCAGAGCTTACCCTTTAAATTCTACTTCTATTCTTGAGGAATTCTGAGTGCAAAACTTTCTTTTTGTAGTTCTACTACTTATTAAAATTTGCATTCTCAGGTCGAGCATACGATTTTCAGAATTTTAATGGAAAACTTGCTGAAAGCATTATTTTTCCTTTTATGTTTTTCTAGGAATTCATATATTTTCTAAAAATTTTAAAAGCATTTTCACACAGCTAGAAATAACATACACATTATTTTCTCTCTGTCTCCCTTTTTCTTTTTCAGCTGTCCATAGAATTATCCATTTTATTAGATTTTAAAATACAGCGTTTATGTTTGTTGATACTCTGTTGCAATTTTATTCCCTATTAATTTAGTTTGATTTCATGAATTAAATATTGTATATGTCTGCTTATTTTTAGTGTCTAGAGGCAAATACATAGAAAATTGATTTTAAAAAAAGTAATGAAGTATAATTTATATAATGAAAGGATAAATCTTAAATATACAGATCATATAGTTTTTTCATAGTACACTCCTATATACCTACCACTCAAAACAAGACATCAAACATTATTTATCATTCAAGATCTTCAGAGACCCTTCACATTCATCAGCTTTCACAGACTAATCACTTCTGAAGACAGGGTTTCAGGATCTTCGTGTAAAGACTGTGAAAATCTGTTACTTCATTACAGCAATGAGAAAATACGGTAACATTTTCAAAATTAATTTTATCAAAAGTCTGAAAATTAACCTAAGACTCAAAAATCGAATGTGGGCTTTGAAGAAAAGCGGCTGGATCTCAATAAAAATCTCAAGTTTTTTTTTGCATTTTAACTTGACTTGTTCCGTCCCCCCTCTCTTTAGCTCTTATGTAGCTGAGAAAAAAAGCAGGCTACTGGATAGGGCAGACCCATTGCCAATGAGTTTTCACCACTTAAGCTGTCTGGAAACTCCAGAAAAAGCCTTGTCACAGGGATTTTATTATTTGACTTAACTCAGAACTCACTCAGTGTGAAAAGCCTTGCCATGACTCTCTCACCAAAACAAACAAACAAACAAACAACTTAACAAAACAAAAGGAAAAGAAAAACAGCAGTAACAGTTGAATATTGAAAATGCCTGAGAGAGTGACACTGGTTGGGACAAACACAAACCTGGACAAAAAATTAAACAGAGAACTTGGGGATTTTGAAATTCCGACACATCCCTTGGGATCCAAAAAGGTGCACACAATGTCACCATTGGCATGCCCAGGAAAGATTTGAAACAGCACTAATATTTTACCTCTGACTAATTTTGAGCCTCTGCACTAGCAGGAAATGAAGGTTAAGGAAGAGTTATAAGTTCCTGTAACATCAAAGGCAGGCACCAACACACACACAGAGACATTCAGCAATGTGTGGAAGACTTAAGCTCAAAATATTTAAGAAAATTCCCACTTAGTACTTAGCTGATTATAAAGCTAATGGGCAAAAGCTTTGGGGACTGTTCCTGATACAGAATATAGACTTCAAAGAATTGTGACAAGAAAGTTACAAAACAAAGAGTAACATAAACAGTTGGAAATTTTAAAAGATAAACAAAAACAATAAATCTTTAGATAATGAAAAAAAGGAGAAAAGACTCAAAATCAGATGAAAAGAGAAAACATTAAGACTGACGCCACAGAAATGCAGAGAATCATAAGGGACTATTAAGATTGAGTCATGAGAAAACAGAAAATCTGAACTGACAATTACTGAGTAAGGATACTGATCCAGTAATAAACAGTCTCCCATTAAATAAAAGCCTAGAAACTGATGTCTTCAGTGCTTAATTATACTAAGCCAAAGAATACAAACTTATAGTCACAAAGGAGGAATAAATTCAAGAGATCTATTGTGCAGCATGGTGACTAGAGTTAATGATGATATATTGTATTCTTGAAAAATGCTAAGAGAGTGAATGCTAAGTGTTCTTACCAACAAAAATAATTACTACGTGAGGTAATGCATATGCTAATTAGCTAGATACTCCACAATGTTTATAAACTTCAAAACTTCTTGTTTGCAATTTTTTTGTCAATTTCGAACAAATAAATAATTAAAAATAAAATAAAACTTGCATTCTTGATTATCTCATCTAAACATCAAAACAACCCATTATTTTTGTGAAAAGTTAAACAAATAACATAATGAATACATCTCTTGGAAGAGCCTAAATATCACCAATAGGACAAAATTAATAGATTTAAGAGAAGTAGGAAAAATGGTTGCCGGGAGGAATATGATAGTACAGGGGACATTGGATGCTGGAGAAAATTATTGAAAATTTTCTTCACACCAAGACAATAGTTGATTTTAAAATATAATTAATAATTGAGTATCGTTTGTCTTTTAAAGTCAAACCCCTTCAAACACACACAATGACCTCAGGTGATCCACTCGCCTTGGCCTCCCAAAGTGCTGGGATTGCAGGTGTGAGCCACCACGCCCAGGCAAGTCTGAGATTTCTTTATTAACTTTTCTTTTTGAATGAGGCCAGTCCATTTACTGAAAGTGGGGTGTTGAAGTTCCCTACTTGTATTGTATTGTACTGCATTCTAACTCTGCTTTCAAATAATTTAATGTTTGCTTCATATATTTAGGTATTCCAATATTGGGTGCACACATATTTGTAGTTTTTATACCCTCTTGCTGAATTGACCCCGTTATCATTAATAATGACCATTTTGTCGCTTGTCACAGTTTTTTACTTAAAAATCTATTTTATATGATATACATATAGCTACTTCTGCTTTTTTTTGAATGCTCTCACCTTTATTTCTTTCAGTATACCCGTGATACAGATTTTTCATACATAACAAGGTAAATGACATGTGCATGTTTTATGGAAAATAGAGGCAGAACCATGGCTAAAGCATCTAGCCCAGCAATCATCTCATTATCCGTGAGGAGTGGGGGCGGGAGGAAGTCACAGGCAGTTCACCAACACCTGGAAAGTCCATGACTATATAGCATATACCAGATCTGCTATATGTATATGTGTGTGTGTATATATATACACTATACTACACAGTATATAGTATACGTATATATAGTATACTATACTATACAGTATATACATACCGTATGGTATGTACATACATACTGTATAATATGTAGATACAATACAGTATATACATACAGTTATACTATACAGTATATACATATAGTATATGATATATATACTATACATAGTATATAGTTTATGTATAGTATATGGTGTATATATACTATATAGAGTATATAGTGTATATATACTATAAAGTATATACTATATATAGTATATACTATATATAGTATATATAGTATATACTATATATAGTATATATAGTATATACTATATATAGTATATATAGTATACACTATATATTGTGTACATATGTATATATAAGTATAGTATACACTATAATATAGTGTATATATGTATATATAAGTATAGTATACACTATAGTATAGTGTATATGTATATATAAGTATATATACATATATACTATACAGTGTTCTTATAGTAAGGTCTTATATCGTATACATATATGTATACTATATGTATATGTCTGTATATATACTATACTATATGTATACTGCTATATGTATATGTCTACGTACATATATGTACATATTTAAGAGAGCAATATTATATACACATAACAGATCTGCTATATGATCTACATATACATATAGCAGAAGTGGTCATATGTATATAGCTCTCTTTTGTTTTTCATTTACATGGATTATCTTTATCCATCTCTACACTTTCAGTTTCTGTGGAGTCTGGAGAATTTAATTCATTTATATTTAAGATTATTATTAAGAGCCAAGGACTTACTACTGCTATTTTATTCTTTTGTAGTTGTTTTATAGATTTTTTTCTTCCTTTCTTCCTATTTTGTTGTCTTCTTTTATGGTCAAGTGATTTTCTCCAGGGGCATGTTTTGATTACTTGCTATTTGTATTTTGTGTACTTATTATAGCTTTTTTATTTGTAGTTATAAGTCTTACAAAAACTATTTTATAGTTGTAGCAGATTATTTTAAGCTCATAAGAATTTATTAATTTATCAAGGAAGAAATCTCAAGGTAGATAAAAAATACTTTTTGAGATAAGAACAAAACCATAACAAATCAAAACTTATAGGATGCAGCCAAGCAGTGCTAAAGGAAAATTTGTAGCAGTAAATGCCCAAATTGAAAAAAAAGCTACAAATTTAATAAATTAAACTTCTCCTGTAGGAAATTAGAATTCCTAATTTCTAAAAAAAATCTAAATAAAATGGAAGGCAGTAATGAGGATTAGTACACCAATAAATGAAATAGAGAATGGAAAGCAATACAAAATATCAAGAAAACAAGTTTCTTATATTAAAAAAAAAATTGGCAAACCTTAAACTATCTATCCAGGACAAAGCAAGATTATAATCAATAAAATCTTAAATGAAAGAGCATCATTATTATGAAACTTACAGAAATTAAAGGATTGTAGAGAAATATTGTAAAAACTTTATTTGAAAAAAATAGCTGACTACGCATCAATATGCCTTATAAATAAAGACAAAAATTTTGAACATACTACCAAACCAGAACCAGCACCGTATAAAAAGGATTATACAGAACGACCAAGACAAATTTATTCCAGGAATAAAAGTGGTTCAACCTGTAAAATCATTCAGCGTAATACATGACAGTAATTGAATAAAAGACAAAATTAAATAATGATAATCTCAATAGAAATAAAGAAAATCTTTTGATAAATTCCACCATGCTTTCTTTATTAAAATGTGCTACCAAACTGAGTGTAGAAAATAACTCTCAATCTGAAACTAGTTGGCTTTTCTGAAAAATAACAATTAACATCATACATAATGATGAGACTTAAATGCTTCCCCTCTAAGATTTCAAACGAAAACAGAACATCTGCTCTTGTTACTTATACTCAACATTATACTAGAGGTTCTAAACCGGGCCATTAATACAGAAAAAAGAGATAATATGTATCCTGATGAACTGGAAATAAATAAAACTATCTCTCCACATATGCCATGATCTAATATATGGAAAACTCCTAAGGAATACACACACACACATACACACACACACACCCCACAGACAAAACTTTCATAACTAACATACAAGTTTATAAAACTAACAAAATTTAAGATGAGTGTACAAAAATCAGTCGTATATATAGATACCTTCTACAGACAAAGTGAAAATGTTATTAAAACATATTTGTTTATAATAGGTTCAAAAATATTTAAGAATAAGTTAAAATAATAAAATTACTTCTAATTTGAAAACTCTAAACCTTTATTGAAAACACACAAGTAGGTCCAAATGAATGGAACTACATTTTATATGCTTGAACTGGATGCCTTAATTACAATGGCAATACATCCCAAATAATTCTCCACATTAAAAAGAATGCTTACAAAATCCCAGCTTTCATTTTATAAGAACTGATAAGAAAATTCTAAAATTCAAATAACTGTGAGATGAACACAGCCAAAAAATCTTGAAAAACACTAAGTTGGAGAAATTACATTTTTTATTTCAAAATGTATTACAAAGTTACAGTAATTGATATGATACTGGCATAAGCATAGACATATAAATCAATGGAGTAGAATTTAGTGTCCAAAAATGAACATCTTCATAAACAATTAATTTTTGCAATATTATCAAAATAATTTGATAGGGAAAGAATAGTCTTTTCAAACAATATTACTGGGACCACTGAATATGCACATGCAAAAGAATGAATTTGGAACCCTACTTCATTTCATCTATAAAAATTAACATAGAATTGAACTTTCACCAGAACATAATAGAGAAAACCTTAGAATTCTTAGAAAAAAAGAGACATAGTAGCAAATCTTTCTGTTTTTCAGATAGGGAATGGTTTATTAGAAAAACACCAAAAGTACAAGAGAACAGAAAAGGGATTAAGAGGTGTTTTTCTAATAAACCATTCCCTTTCATCAAAATCAAAACCTTGTGTTTCAAAGAACAGCATTAAGAAAGTGAAAAGACAACCCAAAGGAAAAAAAAATACATATTTGCAAAGTATATATCTGATAAGAGACATATCCAAACTCTATAAAGAAGACCTACAACTCACATTATAAATAAAATTAGCTCTAACATACACACACACAAAAAAGCAAAATATTTGAATAAGTATTTCTCCAAAGATGGTCGTAATTACATAAAAAGAGGATTCATATCACTCATCACAAGAAAAATGCAAATCATAATTACCATTTGATAACATTTCACTCTCACTATGATGGCTAAAAAGAAAGTAACAATTGTTAATGAGAAAGTAGAGACATTAGAACACCTGTAGATCCCTAGTTGAAGGTAAAATGCTGCAGTTGCTTTGGAGAATAGTTTTGCAATTTCTCAAAAAATGAAACCTACAGTTACTAATTGACCTGGCAATTTTACCCCTTGGCATATACCCTGGGAAATAAAAATATATTTGCATGAAACTTTTACATATAGCAGCATTATCCTTAATCACCAAAATGTGGAAAAAATACAAAAGTTCATCAACTGTTCAATGGGTAAAATATGGTATAGCCCTACAATGAAATACTATTTTCTAATTTTAAAAGTGAAGTAGGAATACTACATAGTATCAATGTCTACCACAAAGTTAAAACCATTCACAAAGGCCACGCATTTCATGTTTCGGTTCACATAAAATATTTTGCAGACAAAATTCACTGAGAGAGAAAGTTCAGTGGTTGCCAGTGGCTAGAGTTAGTGGGGAATGGAGATTGACTTCTAATGGGTATGTATTTTTGTTGCTGTTGTTGTTTTTACGGTGATAAAGTCTTTCTAAAATTAGATACTGCTATTAGTTGAACAACTTTGTGAATATTGTGAAAACCATTGAATTGTACACTTTAAAAGCTGAAGTTTTTGATATATAAATTACATCTGGTTAATGCTGTTATAATTACTCTTCTGAATTCTAGCATTATATATTATTTTTCACTTTTCTGGAAGTGCATTTAAATGAAGTAATATAGATTATAATCTTTTGTCTGCCTTCTTATATACAAAAAATAACTGCAAGATCCATACATACTGTTGCATATATCATTATTTCATTCTTGTTCTTGCTATGTAATATTCGATTACATAAATATATCAGAAATATTTATCCATAAATTTACAAATGTCTGTCTGGTTTCTAGTCTGGACTAGCATGTGTAAATGCTAGGAAATCATTCTATATATCATTTTGTCACCACATACATTTATTTCTCCTGTGAGAAGATATAAAAGTGCAATTGTTGGAGCATAGGGTAGGCATATGTTTGGATTTATTACACATAATCCGTTGTCAAAAATGGTTAAATAAATATCCTCTCCCACCAACAATGTGTGAAAGTTTCAATTGCATAACACAACACAGTGAAACTGTTTTAAAAAATTGATCTGACACTAGCTTTTGCATTTAATAGATATGATTCAGTTTAAATCTTCTATTTTTGCTATTTATCTCCTTTCTTCTTTTCTTCTTTGTTCTATACTTTTCCTGTTTTTCTGCCTACTTTAAGTTTAGCAATTACATGCAATCTATCCTTTCATATTTTAATTGAATTTCATTTTCTTTGTATATTGAAGTCTAATAGGTGATTAATTAGATAACTCAATGAAGCATTTTAAATAATTAAAGTATTATCATAATAAGGAAGTCATTTATCATGAAAAGCACATTGCAAAGATTTTTCGGTTTGTAAATTTAAATACAAAAATCTGAGATCTGAAGAACTGAATTTCTAAATCTAGCACTATAGTTTCAGTATTGTCATACATTTTATAGATAATCTAGATAAGGCCATAACTTTTAAAGAGAAATATGCAGTCTTTGAAGGAAAATTTTGTTTTATAGGCTACAGTGAGGCAACCGTGGGCCTAAAATTCAAGACTTTTACTGGTCTAATGCCAGAACAACAATGATATTCTATTGACATAACTTATTTATTGCTTCAAAACTATTTTTCTTTCTACTACATGAAATTTCTGACACAGGACAAAGTTACATTGTTACTTTACATTTCTTTTGATTCTTCCATAAAATGCTAGGGGGAAATGAAAAACCTATGGAACATAAAATTTTTTTAAATTTATTACTATTATTCTTTAATATAAAAAAATTAAAATATATCATTCTCTTTTAATTTTATACAAACATCATAATATATACTAATTTTAAAGTTATAAGAATTTGTTTCTAAGTTATCAATTGTTAATAAAAAACTTGGCTGGGTGTGGTGGCTTACGCCTGTAATCCCAGCACTTTTGGAGGCCAAGAGGGGCGGATCACGAGGTCAGGAGATCGAGACCATCCTGGCTAACATAGTGAAACCCCGTCTCTACTAAAAATACAAAAAAAAATTAGCCGGGCGTGGTGGCGGGCGCCTGTAGTCCCAGCTACTAGGGAGGCTGAGGCAGGAGAATGGTGTGAACCCGGGAGGCGGAGCTTGCAGTGAGCCGAGATTGCGTCACTGCACTCCAGCCTGGGTGACAGAGCGAGACTCCTAAAAAAAAAAAAGAAAAAGAAAGAAGAAAAAAATCCTGTATAAATTCTGGTAATGTTCTGGAAGGTCTAGGATGCAATATATCTCTAATAAAAATACCAGGTTATAGGTTTTTTATTCTTAAAATTTACGCTTACATTAAATACAAATAAAAAGTATATCTGAGATTCTAATGCATAAATATCCCATATAAAAAATTTAAAATTGGCTGGGCGTGGTGGCTCACGCCTGTAATCACTTTGGGAGGCTGAGGCAGGCGGATCAACTGAGGTCAGGAGTGAAAAGAGTTCCTTTCACTACGTTGGCCTGGCCGGCATAGTGAAACCCCGTCTCTACTAAACATACAAAAAATTAGCTTGGCTTAGTGGCGCGCACATAATCCCAGCAACTTGGGAGGCTGATGTGGGAAAATCACTTGAACCTGGGACGTGGAAGTTGCAGTGAGCCAAGATCACACCCCTGTACTCCAGCCTGGGCAACAGAGCAAAACTCGGTCTCAGAAAAAATAAATAAATAAGTAAATAAATAAAACTTATTTGTTTCATAGTAAATATAAAGCACTTTCTAAAACCATTGCACATGGTGACCTGGGCAAGGAAATCCACTGTGGTTTCCAACGAACACTCAACCAGGCAATATCAGTTAATTTTACTGATATACCATCCTAGAATATAAATTTATCTAATTGTAATTGTTGGATTTTACCATTATTAAATTACTGTTATACCACTTACGCACTTTGATTACATTATTTTTGCCTGTCTAGAAACAATAAACTTGAATAAAATCAGTATGCAAGGCTTTAAATTGTTTCAAAATTAAAATATTTGTATTATGTTTGTGCAAATTTTCTTAAACGACCATGTACAGCCATCATCATTTTTCCAAAATGTTGTGTGTTGTATGTGTCTATATCTCCCAGCAGAAATTAATGACTGAGATGGAAAGAGGAAGAGAGAGAGAGAGAGAGCGCGAGAGAGAGACAGAGAAATGAAACCATACACCTGCTTGGCTCAGATGAATGATGTAGCATAGATTTGGCTTTGAAATATTTACTTAGAAGATTTATTAAATTACTTCGTGGCATACACACTTGTTTCTTCCATTCGTGTGATTAAGCCGAAACCTACAGCACAGCCTGTCTTATTCAGAGGCAGAGCGCTGTGTGCTGACTATACAAGGCTATTAAGTGACTGGCTCCATTCTCCTTCAGACTGAGGCCAAGGCCTATCCAAATTGCTGAGTTTCCTTGCCTCCAAAGCTTTTTAAGCTTAAAATTTATAATTTCTTTCTAAACGTACTGATTAAAAGTCTCAGGTTTTTTTTTGTTTGTTTCACTTCATATTATTCCAATGCTGATACTTCTTGGACAACACTATTAAACACAGTATTATTTGAAATATAAAAATGGAACATTCCATTTAGCTATGGTGTATAGACTCACTATGAATTAACCTGATGTCAATGATCTCAGATTTTTTTCCAGGCATTTTTGAAGGGATCCTGTAAAAGAGAAATGTGAGATTTCTACTTTACTAGAATATATTTTAAGTAACTGTCAATATTTTCATTATTACATGGTGGTTAACCTAGACAAACCCAGTTAGGGCACATTCTTTCCATCAACACCCAGTTCTGTCACTATCAACCCCTCTTTAGGTCCTTTCTGTGGTCAGAGGAAAAAACATTTGACATTGATGGAATGCTTAAAAACACTTCCAAAAATTCTGAGTTATGTGTTGCTTTCAGCAAGACTCTATAAAGCCTTTATACCAAGACAAGTCTGAGGGTCTTCTGCGCAATACTCCTAAATCTTCATTCTTCTCATCCAGAAGAATATTCTTGCATTGTGGGAAAAAGAAGGCTGTAGTATACGTAAAGTTTCTGATTAAAGTGCCTAAAAACCATGCTTTTGGATCCCACCCTCCATGTCCATTGAAGGGAGTGGTTCCAGGAAAGGAAAGTGAGTTGTCAACGTGCAAAGAACAAAGGAGAGATCTACAGGTAGAATGCAGATAATGTATCTAGAGACTAGCACCCTGTAACAAATCAGACAGCACACATGAAAACAGGCAAAATGCAGACGTCAGGAAGTGGATGCAATAGAGAGTAAAATAATCCCCTCCTATCTTATTTCTGTCTTTTCAGTGATGTATATTTGGAAAGTAATCTTTTCTACAGCCAAAACCTGTTATATTACATAAGGAAGCTTCATGAAGATGATCACATCACAAAATATTTTTGAGGTATATGCCCACAAAGAGTTAGCACAGTCCAAGCCCAGATATATATATATATATAGAAAAGAAAATTTTTTGGCCGGGAGCGGCGGCTCACAGCTGTAATCTCAACACTTTGGCAGGCCAAGGAGTGGGGTGGATCACTTGAGGTCAGGAGTTCGAGACCAGCCTGGCCAGCATGGTGAAACTCTGTCTCTACAAAAAATACAAAAAAATTAGCCAGGCCTGGTGGTGGGCGCCTGTAATCCCAGCTACTTGGGAGTCTGAGGCAGGAGAACCACTTGAACCCGGGAGGCAGAGTTTGCAGTGAGCTGAGATTATGCCATTACACGCCAGCCTGGCAACAAGAGTGAAACTCTGTCTCAAAAAATAAATAAATAAAAATGAAAGAGAAATCTTTTTGTATTAGCTCGTATTTTCACGGAATACTACTTACATTAAAAACATAAAATATCATCGTACAACGTAACATACACTGTGCTAAGAAATACACAGGTTTGAATTTTTCACATGAACTTTAAAAATCATTTTGAAAATGTAAGACATTTCAGACTTTGCTCCAGGAATCACCTAATTCTCTCACACCTGAAGCTTGGCATATTTAATATGTAAGCACCTGGAAAATTTTCTGATTTCAAAAAATTAATTTCTAGAATCTCCAAATGAAAAGATTTTTATGGAGCAGAAAAGAGAAAAAGTTTGTGAATGTGTACATGTATATGTGTGTGTTTGGAAAGGCTAGATTTACTGTACGTAATTATGTGAAGACTACTTCATTCTCTAAGCAGCTAATACAAAAATGTTCTCAATTAGAGGCTGGTCTTCATTGAGAAAATATTTTGAGGATCTCAACATCTAGAACCTGGTTGCTTGCTCATAAACAAAGAAGCAACGCTGAAAAACAAGGGAGATGAAAATGTAAAGTTTTTGCAGAGTGAGCAGGCAGTTTGTCACACTGCTCCAGGCAGAAGACAATGAAGATATTAGTGCTTACTACAATTTTAAAGTTTTTCTGGGGCATACCTGTCTTGCTAAATTCAAGTCTTACAAAATCATATAGTAAAGTCCACATTGTTCGTTAATGTTGCCATGTGTTATTTCTCCCTAAGCTAGAAAAAAATTAAGATTCTTCACACAGGTAGATTTTGGATTAATGAAAAGAAAGCATATTTGGCCAAAAAAAGCAGAACTTGAGAAAACTGCTTCTGTTGTTACAAAATCATAAAATTGTTCCAGTGAATGCCTGATTCTGGTACTGGTAAAGCAGTGGTGCAATTATTATGTGCCACTGTGTGCTCTGTATGCCTAAGCTAAGTACCTTCTTTATAAAAATGCTGAAGTATATTCCTATAACATTTCCGCCTGGAAAAACAAAAGAAACTTATTCAAATATAATTGTTACTTTTTCTTCTCCTCCTACCTAACTGTCTTTGCAGAGGGTTCTACCAATATCTTTAAAAGACAAAAATAACAGTTTTATTTCAAGTCTCTAAAGTCAAAAATTGAGATTTTTAAATATCTCTTGACTTGCTTATTACATTATTGAGAAAACCTATTAACAAATAAGCCAACTCATTATATATAAAATAACCATGTGTTCATGACATTGTTAATTGCATATAATCTATTACAGTGTTAATTTACAAAATTTAGTACAAGTTGGCAGGATAAAATACCAGCTGAAAAAGATGATGTAGTTGTCACAAGGTAAATATTAAGCAAAATGTACACATAATTATTTGTAATAGAATAATCTAATTATATTTCACAATTATTTGAAATAATTTACTTCTTTAAGAAATTAGAAATGTTATATCATATTCAGAGTCCAAAATTTAAGCGAAAGATTAACTTAGAGATATATAAACGCCTACCATAGCTCATTTAATTTCTATTTTCTGTTTTATTTATTTACATTTCTAACAACAATTTGAAAAAAAATTGAGTTTTATTGGCAAGTGCCTATTTTCCACTAATTACAGTCTCATTGCTGTTAGTTTACATATTTTCTTTTTGTCCAGAAGATGCTGCTGCTGCTGCATAGATGCTGATACAACTTTGGCTACTGGCTGTTCATAGTCTCCCTGTCACATTCATCGTTGACTAAAAAGGAGATTGATGCACTTTTTTCTCAATGACTTTGTTTTTCATTCCTCTCCTTGATTACTGCAATCTCAGAAAACAAGGTATCATCAAACGTAAAGGGTCTTATAAGAAATCCATTTATGTTATCTGATCCAGGAGAGAAACAAAAAAGAAGATTGGATTAAGATGAGATCAGGCATTGAAGATTTACAATAGAAAGGGTAAAGGTGGTAACCAATGTGCATTTTCAAACACTGGAAAACACTTGAATAAAGTATTTTAACTGAAAAGCCAGTTTTCAGCTATAGAATACACTGTAATAATTCAGAATGTCATGTTCAAAAACAGAAAAAAATAAAACTCACCATTAGATAAGGAATAAGTAAAAAATATTTTTCTTTTTTTGTTA
The DNA here is from genome assembly GCF_000001405.40 of Homo sapiens. NCBI lineage: Eukaryota > Metazoa > Chordata > Mammalia > Primates > Hominidae > Homo > Homo sapiens. Next base: position 26,803,609 of record NC_000005.10, read on the forward strand.
ACATGTTAAGATGTACCATGCTGAAAACATATATACTTTTAAAAGTCCTCATTATAATTTAAGGAACTATTGTGTATGATCATGTTCATTTATATGCCTAATTCTTTGTTTGCTAATTATGGAATTGAATTAATTAATTAGAAAAGCAAGTTGAGAGGAATTCTGAAATAGTGTAGTTCTACTCTTACTCTGAAGAAGTTGAAGGGATCTTTAAAATAATACACATGTTCCATCCCCTGACCTTCTTGTTCATAAAACTGCTGAAATAACCACAATGTCTTTAAGTCTCCTCCATGTATATACATATGTGTGAGCACACACATATACACACAAACATAGATTAATAATTTATGGTAGAAATTTTATTAAGGTAGAAATTTTTGGTTAGTTTCTACATACAGTGTCCTTCAGAGAAAATGTGTATCTTTTCACATTTATGGTCCTAAAGTGGCAGTTTTAAAATAAAATAGGAGCTTTCAAAATGTGGATGTGTAGATGCATGAGTTATGAGTAGTACTAAAAATATTAACCTAGCATTTGTTTAAAAAATACTGAGATCTGATATGGCCAAGAGTTGATATACAGCATAAAGCTTACTTGTGAAATAAATTTTAATAAAGATTACATTTAAAAGGTTACTTGAGAAAAGAGTCATTCTTTTTCATTCTTTTCAAGTACAGATAGAATTAAAGTTGACCATGTACTTACAACAAAAGAAGTCTTAGCAAATGCCAGATAACAAAATCATACACATCTTCTTTCTAAGTTATAATGTGAAAGTTAAATTGGTAACAGTAAGTTAGTAAAAATAGTGTAATTTGTGTACTAGAAGATACTTCAGAAAACTGCATAAATAAAATAATAAATAAAAAATAAAATAATATCAATTTAGAACTAAAACAGGGGAAAACATTCTTTTAAAAAGTGTTTGAAATAAGCATGACCATGTCCTATATGCCAGGACTTGTTCTGAACAATAACAACAAAAATTATGAAGCACACAAAAAGATAGCAGAAATCAATTATGAGAAACAGGGTCAGACACGACATAGATATAGGACTGACATGGTAATTACAATAACTATGCTTAATATATTAAAGCCTTTAATAGAAAAGAGAGCCCCAGAGAGATAATTCCAGCCACAAAATGGAAACCATAAGAAAAAAATCAAGTAGAAAATATAGAAATCAGAACAATGTGTAGAAATGAAGATCTTCAATAAACTCATAAGTAGACTCAGCATAGTTGAGGAAAAAATCAGTAATGTTGAATAAACAATGATTAAACAGCCCAATTAAAATGAAAAGAAAAAAGAGAAACAAAAAAAATTCTAGATCTTTGGCACAATATAAAATATTCTAATTTATGCATAATTGGAATTTTTAAAGAAGAAATGTTTAATGAAATAATGGGTGACACATTTGCAGAAGTAATGCCAAGCTGCAAACTTGTTCTAAGGTAACTTAGTATCAAGCTGGAAAAAAACCCAAAATATACAAACAGGCTTGCATATACACACGTGTGAATGTGCACACACACACACACACATAAACACACAGCCCTAAGCATTTTATAGTCAAACTGCTGACTGGTGAAGTCTATGAGAAAATTTTTAAGACAGATAAAAAGGCATTTTGCTTTCAGAGAGCCAATGATAAGAAATACAGCAGACTTATCATCAAAAGCCATGTGAATAAGAAGACAATGGAGTGACATCTCTGATATGTTAAATGAAACACCTGTCAACCTCAACACCAGTGAAAGAATCTTTCCAAATTACAATAAAAAGACACACTGTGACAAACAAAACCTGAATGATTTGTTTATTCCCATATTCCTTGCCAGTAGAACTACACTACAGACAATGTTTAAGAAAGTTCTTCAAGCAGAAAAAAAAACTGTGATATAGTCAGAAACTTGGATCTATACTGAATAGAGACTTGCCCATGGAATAAATGATACTTGATTCTTTAATGCAAAATGGTAACAATATACATGTGTACTAATGCATATATAATAATATACAAGTATAAAATTAAAATAACAGTAATGGAATATGGAATGAGAGAAAGATATTGGAAACATAAGGTCCATAAACTGTATGTGAGTGGCATAATATTTTGTTAATATAGCCTCTGATTATTTACAAATGTGTATTGTCAACCATAGAGATACTGCTGAAAAAAAAGATAAAAAATATGAAAATAGACATATAAAAGCCACAAAACTATAATATACTTAGTTAAAACTAAAACTAAGTATATTATATGGTTGGAAAAGTGGGAAAGAAACAAATAACAAAAGAAACATAGAATACTGCTAGAGAGATGATATATTTTAATCAAAAATTTTTGATGATCAGATTAAATGTGAATGGTCTAAACTCAGTTGTTAAGGGATAGATTGTTAAATCAGATAAAGAAATGTAGAACTCAGCTATATTCTTACGACAAACATTCCAATGTAAATAAAAAGATACAGATTTTTACTTAAAAGGATGAAGAAAGATATTCCATTTAAATACTAATTCAAAATAAAGCTAGACTGGCTGTATTAATTTCAGACAAAGTAGATTTCAAAACAACACTTACAAGGGACAAAGAGTGACATTAGATAATTGTGAAGATAACAATTATCTTCACACCAATCCTGTGTGAAGATACACCAATCCAGTGCGTGTATGTAACTAACAACAGACGTTCAAGATTTGTGAGGCCAAGAAAATGCTAGATCTGGAAGGAGTAGTAGATATGTGCACAATTACAGTGGAATATTTTACTTATTTTTCAGTAAACTATAGACAAGCCAGCAGAAAATAAGCAACAATTTCTATGACATGAAAAATCAGCTTGATCTAATTGACATTTTAGAACACTACACCCAATGAGAATAAAGAAACACATTCATCTCAAGAGAACATTGATGATTCACCACAACAGATTATACTTGGAGTCATTAAATAAACCTTAATACAACAAATACACACATTGAAATCCTATACAGTATGCTCTAAAAACAAGAAAATGTAATTAGAAATCAATAACCTAAATATATCTGGAAATTACTTAATACATGGAAATTAAACACACAGCTAAACACAGAATCCAAGAGCAAGATTCAAGAAAAATGTAAAATTTCTTAAGTACATGTATTTTTAAAAATTGAAAGTAAAGAATAAAACATCACAATTTGTGAACTGAAATTAAAGCAGTGCCTAGTGAAAACCTTATAACATTAAAGGCTTATATTAGAAAAAGAAAGATTTAAAATCACTACCCTCTGCTTCCATCTGAAAAGACAAGAGGCAGAAAAGCAAAATGAACTCAAAGCACATAGAAGGAAGAAAATGATTTTGATAGCACAAAAATCAATAGATTGCAAATTAAATTAATAAAAATTCAAATAATGAATCAAGTCAACACATTAAAAAAAAGTAGATAAGACAAAAATTATCGTAAGAGGATGAAAAATGCCCCACCTACAGAGGCCCGCATTCTAATCCCCGGAAATTTTGAATACTGCTTTACATGGAAACAGGGTCTTTGCTGATGTGATTAACGTATGACTCTTGAGATGGAGAGAGTATCTTGGAAGAAAAGGGTAGGCCCTAATGCAACCCTTTGTATGATCATAAGAGGGTGATTTGACACAGACATAAGAGGAGAAGCCAATTTGACTATGGGGGCAGACATTGAAGTGTCGTGATGATGGAAGTGGCTGCCCATCTGGCTGTGTGCTCCTCAGAAGCTGGCAGGAGCCAGGAGCAGGTGGGAGCCCCAACCCCTACCAAGTTGGCTGGGCAGGAGCCCTATCTTCCTGGGCACAGCTGCAGATGCCCAGCTGCGGCTCTGGACCTAGGCATACCTGCCCTCTCAGGGGTCCAGGAAGTCCCCCTTGCTCCTGCAGGTTCCAAAGCACCTGCTCTTGCTCCCTGGCCCCTCCCTGCTCCTGGCTCTTATTTTGGAGCAAAGTTGTGGCCAAGCATGGGTGATGTTGCATCCCGGCCAGGTATGCGTGTGCTCAGGGCAGCACTGACACACAAGATCCCCTCTGCCATCTCTGCCCCTCAAGACTTTGGGCGCTGATAAGCACAGGAGGGAGGCATGGGTGGGGAGGGTATTGGGGTGCTGAGGGCAGCTCGGAACTGGCCCGCACTCACCCCTTGGTGCAAACAGCCAGGCCGCCATTGATGGTGATAGGAGCTTCTTGAGGGAGGGCTGTGACACTCTCTTTGGGGATCTGCGGTTCCTGGTGTATCCAAGCTTCTGACCACCATCCTGTTCCCCAGTGCCTGCAGTGGAAGCCGCCTGTGGTATGCCTGGTCCAGCCACCACCTCGTCAGGAGCCGGTGTCTGTGCCAGCGTCTGGAGCTGCCCGCCCCACTGCAACTGATGTGCCTGGCTGTGCACAGTGGCCAGACCCTACACTCACTCACAAACCCTTCACTACTGCGCACCTGGTTCAGCCTTGGCAGGCTTGGGATCTGGGCTGGTAGTGTGAGCAGAGCGCAGCCTGCTGGGCTGAGTGGGTACAATGAGCCCCATAGGCAAAAGTAAAACTCTGACAAAGGTGTACTGGCCACAGAGATATTGAGCTGGAAATGTAACACCCTAAGGATACTGTGACAATCAAACGCAGTCAAGGCATGTGGGCAGCCAAGAGGCCAGAAGTGATTTGTCCCCTAGAGCCTCCAGAGGGAACATGCCAAAGCTGACACTGTGATTTTAAACCAGTGAAACTGATTTCAGACTTCTAGACTCCGGAACTATAAGAACATAAATTTAATCTTTGTGTCATTTGTTAAAACAACCATAGGAAATTAATACATTATCATATCAGGAATAGAAGAGAGAGCATCACCACTATCAATCCCACAGTTATTTAGAGAATAATAAAATTATACTGGGAACTACTGTACATCCGTAAATTTGATAATTTAGAAGGGATAGACTTATAATTAACAGAAAGGTTAAACTTTATTGGTATATGTAGATAAATATAGGTAGATGATATAAATATAGCTAATATAAACATACGTGTGTAACTAAACGCAACATGATAGTCTGGGTTGAGTTCTGAAACAGAAAAAGAATTTTAGCTAAAGAAAACTATTAATATACAAAATAGTGTTCATTATTTAATTAATGGAATTTGACTAAATAGAATTTCTTAATTTAGACAGATATACTTTATTTATCTGATGGTATCATTAAGGGAAGCTGATTGAGGACAGATGGTTGCTTTCTGTACCATCTGGTTTTGCTATCAATCTACAATTATTTCAAAAACGATTTTGGCCAGGCGCAGTGGCTCATGCCTCTAATCCCAGCACTTTGGGAGGTCGAGGCAGGCGGATCACAAGGTCAGGAGATCGAGACCACCCTGGCCAACATGGTGAAACCCTGTCTGTACTAAAAATACAAAAATTATCTGGGCGTGATCGTGCGTCTCTGTAATCCCAGCTACTCCAGAAGCTGAGGCAGGAGAATCTCTTGAACTAGGGAGTCGGAGGTTGCAGTGAGCCGAGATTGCGCCAATGCACTCCAGCCTGGCGACAGAGCAAGACTCGATCTCAAATAATAATAAAATAATAAAATTTATAAGAACATAAAGCAGTTATTTGTAGTCAATGGTTTGCCAGGAAATATCTACTAGGCAGTATACTTATAATGATCTGTCATTAGAGATGGTCAGAAAATTTCGAACTATTGTCTGTTTGTGCAGAAAAAAAAACACATATCTAATTTTTAAGTTTAACTTTTTTTGTTTGTTTGTTTTTGTTTTGTTTTTTTGAGACAGAATCTCACTCTGTCGCCCAGGCAGGAGTGCAGTGGTGCGATCTTGGCTCACTGCAAGCTCCGCCTCCCGGGTTCACGCCCTTTTCCTGCTTCAGCCTCCGGAGTAGCTGGGACTACAGGCGCCCGCCACCACGCCAGGCTAATTTTTTGTATTTTTAGTAGAGACGGGGTTTCACCGTGTTAGCCAGGATGGTCGCGATCTCCCGACCTTGTGATCCGCCCGACTCGGCCTCCCAAAGTGCTGGGATTACAGGCGTGAGCCACCACTCCCGGCCAGTTTAACTCTTTAAAGTATGTCTTTACTAGAATAACGTTGGTCTTAGTTTTAATACTGTAAATAGTCTACTAACTACATGTCTTATTTTTAATAAAAGAAACCACCTCAATATTAAAATGTATAATAATAAATAATCTATGGTGTTTAAAATCATTTATTTCATCCTCTAAACTACATAGGTAACTAAAAATAGGGTTTTTTTGTATTTAAATGGGTAGTTAAAATTTAATCAGATGTAATTAGTTTTTGGAATATATTTGGTACATATGTCAAAAATATTTTTATATAAAAATTTATTAATTATGCCTTTCTGTGCACATTTTTAAAACAGAAGAATTAACTGCACAATGAAGAAGTTTTCCAGTATGCTCCAAGAAAATGAATTCAGACCAGGTGCAGTGGCTCATGTCTGCAATCACAGCATTTTGGGAGGCCGAGACAGGTGGTTCACTTGAGCTCAAGAGTTTAAGACCAGCTTGGGCAACATGGCAAAAACCCATTTACACACACACACACACGCACACACACACAAAGTAAAACAAAAGTACAAAAATTCGTCAGGTATGGTGGCTCACATCTGTGATCCTAGCTATTCAGGACGTTGAGGTGGTAGAATCAGTTGAGCCCAGGAAGTTGAGGCTGCAATGAGCTGAGATCAGGCCACTGCACTCCAGCCTGGGTAACAGAGCAAGACACTGTCTCAAAACGAAAACAATATATTATTTCAGAATTGTCAATTTTTAAAAATATAAACATACATCAAGCAATGCATCAAAGTTTCCATATGATAATTACAATACAGCAACTTACAAAAACTCAAGGCTCACGTGATTACTGTATTTCTTAGCGATAGCCTTAACATGAGAATATCTATTTTGTATCTTAAAAATGAATCACAACAGTATAATGTTTTTAGTTCCTTCAGAAATGTCTGGTAACTTATTTTTCATCCTGTTTTCTGTTCCAAGGAACTTTAATGGATGACATGAATGATTCTGTTTAATTGGCCCTCAGATCACAGTGATGGGTTGCTACATTGTCCTTGTCTGGTTAATCTTTGTCATTTTTTAACAATAAACCAGCACAGCCAAGGGAAATAATAAAGTAAAGAAATGTAAAATCCTTAAGTTAATCAGATAGTCTGTGGATAATTTCTTTCCATTGTGCATTCATTAATGATTATTTCTAAGCTAAAATTACAATTAAATTTGACAATTGAGGATACTAAATAATTTTATAGACTAATGTAAAATGTAATAGGTTCTTACAATTTTCTGTTATAATGTTTAAAAACCACCATAACATAAAGAGTAATGATATTTTATACAAAATATTACCACATTAGATCCTTCAAAACTCAAATGAAGAGAGTGATTAAAATAAACACCTATAGATGAATTTTAATGGGCATACATTTTACCAAACCTTTTATGTACTTCATCTAATTGAAACTCATGGTAATCTTGGGAAGTAAATGCTTTTATCTATATTTTACAGAGGAGAAAATTGGCAAAATAAGGTTATGTGAGGTACAAAAATTCTACCTTTTGTAACTATGTGTTTTATGTATTTAGTAAAAATGATGTATAATATTTCTAGTATCTTTTGCAATCTAGTCTTTTATTTAGAAAAATAACTGTTGTTTTAATGAATACAGATATGTATGTATATAATTATGTATACATGTATGTGTTTGTTTGTATATTTACGTGTGTATCTTTGTGTGTGTGTATATGTATATAATTCCAAAATTCCAAATTAACTACATATGTATATATATATATACAGTGAACAGTATATATGTAGTTAACAGTATATATAGTATATATATATAACAGTGTATATATAGTGTATATATATACAGTTAACAGTATATATATAGTTAACAGTATACAGTTTACAGTATATATATATATATATATATATATAATATAGTTAATTTGGAAACTGTACCTTGAAGAAGAATAAAATGAAAAATGAAAGAGTATTTTAAAGTGAGATCCTTCATTAAGATACTAGAATAAAAGCTATATATGCCCTCTAACAATTAAAGGCAAAGCTTGTATTAAAATTGTGGTAAGAGAAACATAGAGCAGACATTCACAGAGATTGCATATTGTAGTGATGAAAAGAGAGAAGAGAGGATATAAAAAATATTTCCTCTTTTCCTGTTGTTGTTTAAATTAGTTGCTAGAAAATGTTGTCGTATCATGAAGCTGGAAAAAGAAAAAAAAACGGATATCAGAATAAGTTTTTTGGGGAAAGAATGAGAATTCTACCTTAAACATATTTTATTCAGATATTTGGAAACATCCAATTCAAATGTTAAAAAGTCATTTAGAGTTTTGAAGAATCTGAACCTCAAAAAAAATTGTAAGGTACAAAAGCAAATTCAAGGTAATCGTTACATAGGATGACATCACCAGGGAGAGAATACAAGAGTAAATTTTCCTAGGATTGGGCCTTGAGCTATTCTAGGAGCTTATTTTGGAAAGAGGCAAAGGCAGCTAGGGATAATGGACTGTATCAACTTGAAAACCACGACAGCACAAAAGATTGTTGCAGAAACAGAGGAATAATTGTGCTGTAAGAATGAAGTCAAATTAAGATGAGAATATAAAATTTAATTGACAGTGAAGCTGTGATTCCTGAAAAATGCAGATTCCAGGAAATGGTGAAAAGGAAATACTGATTGATATGGTTTGATTATGTGAAAAAATAAAGTATTCCATGATTTTTGAAGGTGGAAGGACATAAAAGGGGTGGTACACAAGTGAAACAGGCGAAACTAAGATTGCATTTTATACAATTTACAGTGGTCAGTTTTGGTGTTCTTTTCCAGCAACACAACTTTGAGGAATATCACTAAATAATTCAGAGAGGAGGACCCAAGATGACCAATTAGACACAGCTCCACTGTGTGACTCCCACCGAGAAGAAGGAAAACAGCCAGTGAATCCTGCTCCATCAACTGAGGTATCCAGGTCCTCTCACTGGGAATGACTAAGTCAGTTGTCATAACCCACGCAGAGCAAGGAAAAGCAGGGTGGAGCAATGACCCAGGAGCCACCTGGGATAAAGGGAACTCCCACACCCAGCCAAAGGAGGTGACGAGTGAAAGTACTACCCCACCTGGGAAACCAAGCTGTTTCCATGGATCTTTGCATCCTGCAGATCAGGAGATCCCCTCATGAGCCCATGCCACCAGGGCCTTGGGTCTCAAGCAAAGAGCTGTACAACCCACTCAGGTTATGGCCACTGGCAGCAGGCGGGACACTGCCTAAGATGACTGAGTTCCTGCGGGGAGGGTTGGCCACCATCACTGTGGCTCCAGTCAGCCATTTCCCACTGGTGGTGTCAGGGACACTGGGCAGTTTGGACTGAGAGGAATTTCCCACAGCACAGCACAGCGGCTGTGGCGGATCGTGGCCAGACTGTTTCTATAGGTGGGACCCGATTTATCTCTCCTCACCAGGCAGGGCCTCCCACAGGAACTACAGCAACTCCAGCCAGGGGTTTATGGACAGAACTCTGATATCCCTGGGAAGGAACACCTTGGGGGAGAGGCAGACAGAGTCCTGTGGTTCAGCAGACTTAGTCTTTCCTGCCTGCTGGCAGTCTGGATGAGGGGGATTCTCCCTAGTGCAGCTGAACCTACTCAGCAAAGGACCTGCTTTTTAAAGCAGGTCCCTGATCTCATGCCTCCTGACTAGGTGAAAACTGCCAACGGGGGTCGCCAGACACCTCATACAGGAGCATTCTGGCTAGCATCAGCTCGCGCCTGGCTGGGATGGAGCTCCCTGAGGAAAGAGCAGGCAGCCATCTTTGCTGTTCTGCAGCCTCTGCTAGCGATACCTCCAGGCGCAGCAGGAACCCAGGGGAATAGGGTCTCGAATGGTACCCCAGTGAACTGCATAAACCCTAAGGAAGAGGGACCTAACTGTTAAAAGGAAAACGAACCAACAGAAAGTAACAACAACATCAACACAAAAGACCCCGCAGAAACCCCATCCAAAGGTCAGCAGCCTCAAAGATCAAATGTAGATAAACCCACGAAGAAGAGAAAGAATCAATGCAAAACTGCTGAAAACTCAAAATGTGAGAGTGCCTCTTCAGTTTCAAATGATTGCAACACCTCTCTAGCAAGTGCACAGAACAGAGGTGAGGCTGAGATGGATGAATTGACAGAAGTAGGCCTCCGAAGGTGGGTAATAATGAACTTCACTGAGCTTAAGGAGTATGTTCTAACCCAATGCAAAGAAGCTAAGAACCATGATAAAACATTACAGGAGCTGTTAACCAGAATATTCAGTTTAGAAAGGAACAAAAATGACCTGATGGAGCTGAAAAACACAACATGAGAAATTCACAATGCAGCTACAAATATCAATAGCCAAATAGGCCAAGTGGAGAAAAGGGTATCAGAGCTTGTAGACTATCTTGTGAAAATAAGACAGGCAGACAAGATTAGAGAAAAGAGAAAGAAAAGGAATGAAAAAAAAAACCAAAAAGCCCTGAGAACTATGGGATTATGTAAAAAGACTGAACCTATAACTGATAGGGGTACCTGAAAGAGATGGGGAGAATGGAACCAAGTTGGAAAACATACTTCACAATATCATTCAGGAGAACTTTCCCAACCTAGCAAGACAAGCCAACACTCAAATTCAGGAAATCCAGAGAACCTCTCAGTAAGATACTCCATAAGGAGAACAATGTCAAGACCCATTATCAGCAGATTCTCCAAAGTCAAAATGAAGGAAAAAATGTTAAGGGCAGCCAGAGAGAAGGGCTAGGCCACCTACAAAGAGAAGCCCATCAGACTAACAGTGAACATCTTAGTGGAAACCCTAGAAGCCAGAAGGGATTGGGGGCCAATATTCAACATTCTTAAAAACAAAAATTTTCATATCCAACTTAACTAAGCTTCATAAGCAAAGGAGAAATAAAATCCTTTCAGACAAGCAAATGCTAAAGGAATTTTTTACCGCCAGGCCTGTCTTGCAAGAGCTCCTAAAGGAAATACTAAATATGGAAAGCAAATCTATTACCAGCCACTATAAAAACACACTGAACTACACAGACCATTGACACTATTAAGCCACTACATTAACAAGTCTGTAAAATAACTAGCCACCATGATGAAGACGGGATCAAATTCACACATAACAAGTTTAACCTTAAATGTAACTGGGCTGAATGTCCCAGTTAAAAAACACAGAATGGCAAGCTGGATAGAAAGAAAAGACCCATCAGTGTGCTGCATTCAAAAGACCCATCTCATGTGCAAAGATACATATAGGTTCAAAATAAAGGGATAGAGGAAAGTTTAACCAAGTAAATTGAAAGCAGAAAAAATCAGGGGTTGCGATCCTTGTTTCTGATGAAATAGACTTTAAACTAACAAAGATCAAAAAACACGAAGAAGGGAACTGCATAATGGTAAAGGGTTGAATTCAACAAGAAGAGTTAACTATCCTAAATATATATGCACCCAATACAGGAACACCCTGATCCATGAAACAAGTTCTTAGAGACCTACAAAGAGACTTAGTCTCCCAGACTTTAACTCCCCACTGTCAGTATTAGACAGATCATTGGAAAAAATTTTAAAAAAATATTTAGGCTTGAACTCTTCTCTGGATCAAGTGGAACTGATAGATATCTACAGAACTCTCTACCCAAAAGAAACAAAATATACATTCTTCTTGGCACCATGTAGCATTTACTCTCAAATTGATTCAATAATTGGAAGTAAATTGCTCCTCAGCAAATGCAAAAAACTGAAATCATAACAAAGAGTCTCTCAGACCACAGTGCAATCAAATTAGAATGAAAGATCAAGAAACTCACTCAAAACCACACAACTACATGGAAATTGAACAGCTTGCATCTGAATGACTACTGGGTAAGTAATGAAATTAAGGAAGAATTCAATAAGTTCTTTGAAACCAATGAGAAGAAAGAGACAATGTACCAGAATCTCGGGGATGCAACTAAAGCAGTATTAAGAGGGAATTGTATAGCACTAAGTACCCACCTCAAGAAGCTAGGAAGATCTCAAATTGACATCCTAGCATCACAACTAAAAGAACTAGAGAACCAAGAGCAAATAAACCCCACAGCTAGGAGAAGACAAGAAATAACCAAGATCAGAGCAGAACTGAAGGAGATGGAGACACACACACATGCACACACACACAAAAAACCCTTCAAAAAATGAACAATTCCAGGAGCTGTTTTTTTGAAAAAATTAATTAAAAAATGGACTGCTAGCTAGACTAATAAAGAAGAAAACAAAGAAGAATTAAATAGACACAATAAAAATTGTTAAAGAGGGTATCACCACTGACCACACAGAAATACCAACAAAAATCAGATAATATTATAAACACTTCTATGCATGTAAACTAGGAAATCTAGAAGAAATGGATATATTCCTGGAAACATACACCCTCCTAAGACTGAACCAGGAAGAAGCTGAATTCCTGAATAGACTGTTAACTAATTCTGAAATTAAAGCAGTAATAATCTACCAATCAAAGAAAGCCTAGGAACAGATGGATTTACAGCTGAGTTCTACCAGAGGTACAAAGAGGAGCTAGTACCATATTTTCTGAAATCATTTCAAACAATTGAAAAGGAGGGACTCCTCTCTAACTCATTTTATGAGGCCAGCATTATCCTGATACCAAAGCCTGGCAGAGATAAAACAACAACAGCAAAAAAAAAAAAAAAAAAAAAAAAAACAATAAAAACAAATGAACAAACAAACAACCCATTTCAAGTTAATACCACTGATGAACATTGATGCAAAAAATCTCAATAAAATACAGGCAAACCTAATCCAGCAGCACATCAAAAAGTTCATCCACCATGATTAAGTTGGCTTCATCCCCAAGACACTAGGCTGGTTCAATATATTCAAAATAAATAAACATAATTCATCACGTAAAGAGAACTAAAGACAAAAACCACATGATTATCTCAATAGATGCAGAAAAGACCTTCAATAAAATTCAACATCCTTTCATGTTAAAAACCCTCAATAAACTAGGTATTAAAGGAACATACCTAAAATAATAAAAGCCATTTTTGTCAAACCCACAGCTAACAGCATACTGAATGAGTAAAAGATGGAAGCATTCCCTTGAAAATCAGCACAAAATAAGGTTGCCCTCTCTCACGGCTCCTATTCAAAACAGTATTGGAAGTTCTAGCAAAGGCAATCAGACAAGAGAAAGAAATAAAGGATATTCAAATAGGAAGAGAGGAAGTCAGATTGTCTTTCTTTGCAGATGACTTGATCCTGTATATAGAAAACCCCATCATCTAAGCCCCAAAACTCCTTAAGCTGGTAAGCAACTAGAGCAAAGTCTCAGGATACAAAATCAATGTGCAAAAATCACAGGTATTCCTACACACAGACAGCAGGCAAGCAGAGAGCCAAATTATGAATGAACTCCCATTCACAATTGCTACAAAGAGAATAAAACACCTAGGAATACAGCTAACAAGGGACATGAAGGGCAACTTTAAGGAGGACTACAAACCACTGCTCAAGGAAATCAGAGAGGACACAAAGAAATGGAAATACATTCCATTCTCATGGATAGAAAGAATCAACATTCTGAAAATGGCCACAATGCCCAAAGTAATTTATAAATTCAGTGCTATTCTCATCAAACTATTGACATTCTTCACAGAATTAGATAAAACTACTTTAAAACTCATATGGAACCAAAAAAGAGCCTGTATAGCCAAAACAAGCCTAAGCAAAAAGAACAAATCTGGAGGCATCACACTACCTGTCTTCAAACTACACTACAAGGCTACAGTAATCAAAACAGCATGGTACTGGTAACAAAACAGACTCATAGACCAATAGAACAGAATAGAGAATTCAGAAATAAGACTGCACTTCTATGACCATGTGATCTTAGACAAACCTGACAAAAACAAGCAATGGGGAAAGAATTTCCTATTTAATAAGTGGTAATGGGAATACTGGCTAGCCACATGCAGAAAACTGAAACTGGACCTCTTCTTTACACCTTTTACAAAAATTAACTCAACATGGATTAAATACTTAAATGTAAAACCCAGAACTATAAAAACCATAGAAGAACATCTAGGCAATGTCATTCGGGACATAGGCACACACAAAGATTTATTGATGAAAACAGCAAAAGCAATGGCAACAAAGGCAAAAATTGACAAATTGAATTGAATTAAACTAAAGAGCTTCTGCACAGCAAAAGAAACTATCATCAGAGTAAATAGATAACCTAAAAAATGGAAGAATTTTTTTGCAATCTATCCATCTGACGAAGGTCTAAATACAGAGTCTACAAGAAACTTAAACAGATTTACACGAAAAAAAACCTGACTCCATTAAGAAGTGGGTAAAAGATACGGACAGACACTTATCAAAAGAAGACATTTATGCTGAAAACAAAGATATGAAAAAATGCTCATCATCACTGATCATCAGAGAAATGCATACCAAAACCACAATGAGATACCATTTCACACCAATTAGAATGACAATTATTAAAATGTCAAAAAAACAACAAATGTTGGTGAGGCTGCAAAGAAATAGAAATGCTTTTACACTGTCAGTGGGAATGTAAATTAGTTCAACCATTATGGAAAACAGTGTGGTGATTCCTCAAAGACCTCAAACCAGGAATACTATTTGACTGAGCAATTCCATTACTGGGTATATCCAGAGGAATATAAATTATTGAATTTTAAAGATACATGAATGCATATGTTTATTGCAGCACTATTCACAATAGCAAAGACATGAATCAACCCAAATGCCCATCAATGATAGAGTACATAAAGAAAATGTGGTACATATACACCATGGCATACTATGCAACCATAAAAAGGAAAGAGATCATGTCCTTTGCAGAGACATTGATGGAGCTGAAGGTCATTGTTCTCAGCAAACTAATGCAGGAACAGAAAACCAAACATTGCATGTTTCTTACTTATAAGTGGTAGTGGAACAATAAGAACACATGGACACAGGGATGGTAACAACACACACTGAGGCCTGTTGGGGGTGTGTTGTGGGGAGGAAGAGCATCAGGAAAAATAGCTAATGCACGCTCGGTTTAATACTTAGGTGATGGAGTGATAAGTGCTGCAAAGCATCATGGCACACGTTTTCCTACATAATAAACCTGCACATCCTGCACATGTACCCAGGAACGTAAAATAAAATAAAATTAAATTTAAAAAGCGATGCAGATATTTAAGCCAGTCTGAAATCTGAAATAAAAAGGTTAGTGTGTGTGTTTTAAGAAGTGCGATATTATAATGTTTGGATGTGGATAAAATGATCTAATATCAAGTTAAAATCATGAGTTAGGAAACGACATCTTTAGGATGGAAGACAGCTATGGATCCAGACTGCAAGAAGAAACTAACCATAGGCAAGAGAAATAAAATACCTTCCAGCATAAAAGGATTGAAGAGCAATGGGAGGGCTATAGGTCGAACTTCAGATTGTGTATTGGGAAGATGCATTAAATTCATTTAAATAGTATATTTTCTTGACAACGGTATAAGGCAAGACAATCTACTATGTGTGAGGAAGAAGGTGTGTGGAAATTGAGAATAGAAGCTAAATAATCACTTCAGAATTTGATACATCAAATAACAGAATGCGGGACATTGCTTAGTGTCCATTTGAGGTTTACAAATATGAATTTTAAATGAACTTATGTAAAAACATCATTGTTTTAAACGAGTATGAATGGGAATAGATACCACGGATTTATTTAGATATGCCTTTTATATCATTTCCAATAGTTTGTTAAAAGCATGCTAGTATCTTAGCTTCATTAAATATTTAATGATTCCACGTCTTATGATTTGAGGAGTGGCTATTTCCTTGTCTTATAAATTTTATGAAGTTCTTATTATCAATTTATATCAGTAATGACAATAATTCCATAATGATTACCAGGCAATATTATATTTTGCCTATATTTACCCAGTTAATTCACACAAGAAAAATATGAAGTAGGTACTATATCTTCTTGACAGATGAATAAGTAGAAATAAAAAGAGTTAAATAACTTTCTCAAAGTCATAGTTAGTAATTGTTGGAAGAATTATGGCATGTTGACAAGTGGGCCAAAAAAATAATTGTTTTGAACAAAATGTGATGTCCTCGTTCAGTGTTATGCAAATGTCTATCACATTTTGAATATCATGTGCCAAATAAACATGCTTGAAATAGGTAAGATATTTAACAAATTTAAAGTATTTTTGGATTTTAAATCAACTGAAGAATTCTTAAGCAATAGCTTGCATGAAGACACAACATAAAACATTGAATAAATTAGCAAAGTTTCGGACTCCAGAGAAAAGAAAAAGGTAGCCATAGAGATTATGAAGGTCAGACCATTTAAGTTTCAAAACCAGTTTATTGAAAAAAAATTTAAAAACTGGAGTAAATAGTATGAATAGATTGGTAATGCTGTGAGCATGAGGAAACACTATTAAGGAAGATATAGTGATAGAATTTTGAATTTAAAGAAAGAAGGAAAAATGGTACATAGTTATAATGTGAAAATACACCAGTAGAAAAGCTTATTCATACAGTTTTTAATAAATATTGCTGCTTTTCTAATCTGCTCATTCTTGATATTGGATTCGTAGCTGCAGTTGGTATTTATGGATCTTCCAACTCCATAGTCATTATGTTAAAGTAGCTAAATATACTTTTATTTAAAATGCATGTAATTAACAAAAATATATTGAGAAATCATTTACTATTAATACAATGCAGATGGCTAAATATATTTAATGTTCTTTTAAAATTAAGCACATTTGCATATATAGCAGATCACAAATTCAATTGAGCGTGTTGCTAATATTAACTTGAATAACTTTACAAATTAAGTGATAGGCTTAGGGATGAATAATGGTGGTTTGTTGTTCTGATAACCATTTCGTTTTTGGCTTAATCCTTTTATAGCAGGTCTTTTTCTCAGGCCAGTGTGCATTTGAGTGGCTTGTTTTCTAGAATTTGAGCATTTATTGCCTACTTAATATAGCTCAATTTATTTTTGTGAGTAATTGGCTGAAATTTAAACTTTAAATGGTCTTCAAAGGATGTGTTTAGTCAAAAACCATTTATTCTGTTGATTTCTACTTATTGGTACTGTGTTTCTTTGCTTAATGTAGTTAAGAGAACAAGAGCAGACTGTCTGGGGCTGAATCTAAAGTTCAGTAAATATTATTTGCATAATTTTGGATAACTTATTCTCCCATGAATCTAAGATATCATTCTTTGTAAGATATGTAAACATTAATTCAGAAATGTTTAAATTTGCAGAAAATATATCTCAATAAACTGTGGCCTTTAGTATACTGAATTTTATCCTCTGTTAAAAAAAGACAGGGTGAGAGAGAAATAACGAGTGGAACTCCCTTTTAGGCTGGTTGAGAGGATTAATGAGTTAATGTATGTAAAGTGCTTAGAAAAGTACCTAGTATATCATAAACAATAAATAAAAGTCATTTTGTGGTTATTTGGTGATAGCTTCTCCTCATTTGTGCCATGTTCTAGCTCTCAGCTTTAATCTTCCGCTTCATTCTCCACTGTAAGCTCACTTCTGCAAATGCCTTTTTACAAAGTAGGACTGGCAGGTCCCTTATAATGGGATTGGAAGGCTCTGGAAAATGAGAGTAACATCTTCCAGCTCAATTCAAGTTGAAGAGGGGCAGATTCGATTTTCTAGAAATTTGTTCTGCTTACTCCCATTAAACATCCTCTTTCTTCAGGAAATTTTATGGGTTAATTGTTTCATTGCTTCCATATAATTATTTACAAAGCAAAGGCTTACAAGATACAGACAAAATTATTTGGAATATGTTTTGTTTAAGAATTTTCCTGAAAACTCAGTTATAACTTTTTGTTAGAATATTTTGTTATATCTGTACTACATACAAAGAAAAGCAACTTTTATGAATAAATACATGTATACATTTAAATTAGATTAAGGAAATGTAATATCTAATATATTTTATTTAGTTTTGGTGATTTGGAGAAGAAAGCCAAATATATTTTTAAATTCATAATCTATTTTAAACTGAGAAAATCAAGTTTGGACTCTATCTCTAAAAACTTACTATCATTAGAAGTTCAAAAATTTAAAAAAAACTAAAACATAGAAACATTTCTCAGAATTGTCTTAATTAGTATTAAATTATTTTCAATTTATTAAATAGAAATTAGTCTTTATTTATTTACTATGCATTCAAAATATGTATGCCCACATTATTAGATGCTATGATTCCTTCAGTTATGCTTATATATAGGAAATTGCATACAATTCCATATTTTAAAGCCATCTTGTTTCGTATTTAACAAAATGCAATATAAATTAGTCCAACTTGAATTTTTTAAATCCTGCTTTTTAAAATGTTGTGGGTTTAAATGAAGGTTTTCTTATTGCTTAGATTATCTACAGCAACTGAGCCAAAGTTATCTAACCAAGATTTATTGTTCAGTTACACGATGAAATGACAAGATTTAATATCACTAAATAAATACTAGGGGTCAGGATAAGAATATAATACAGTTGTAGGTATTACCAATTGTAAAGAAGGTCAACCATTAATCCATATTAAACAGAAAACAAAATTATCCTAAATTTGATAGTATGAAGTTAAACTAACTTAAATAAATTAGAAGATATACTAGATTTAAAGGAAAATGATTGTTTTTGAATTTTAGGACTGGGTTATATTGAACAAGCTGAGTCATTTGCATATTTTTGAAAAAATTAAATAAATTATAAACCAACAATCAAACTACAAATATGGACATGTGCAAAATCTGTGTTAGGTGTCGTTAGTGCACATTTGGAATAATTTGTGTTTGTGTTTTTAAATACAACCTAAAATTCAGGGTTTGCTGGTGGGCAATTTTTGTTGTTGTTGTATTTTTATTGTGGGAAAGAGTTTTAATACAAAAGTTAACATTAAGTATAAAACCAATATTTCTTCAATGTGACAAGTGTCTTAGAGAAATGTTTCTTGTACTTAAAGATTTTATTCAACAGTAAACTTATAAAAATAACTTATTTTAATGGTGAAGACATTACAAACATAGGACAAAAAATATAAGCAAAATTTACTTGAAGACATTGCACTACTTGTATTGGTTTCATTGATATATTTTTCTTGAGTAGCTATATAATACATTACAACAAGATTAAATTTCAGGTTAAATTAACAAACCCCAATCTTTTTTATTTTATTTTATTTATTTATTTTTTTTTTGAGACGGAGTCTTGCACTGTTGCCCAGACTGGAGTGCAGTGGCACGATCTCGGCTCACTGCAAGCTCCGCCTCCTGGGTTCACGCCATTCTCCTGCCTCAGCCTCCCAAGTAGCTGGGACTACAGGCACCCGCCACCACGCCCGGCTAATTTTTTGTACTTTTAGTAGAGACGGGGTTTCACTGTCAACCAGAATGGTCTCAATCTCCTGACCTCGTGATCCGCCTGCCTCGGCCTCCCAAAGTGCTACGATTACAGGCTCGAGCCACCGCTCCCGGCCAGCAAACCCCAATCTTTATAGAAAGGCTAGTTGCATATAGATTTACTGGCAAAAAGAAAATAAAATCCAATATTATATCAAAATGTAATTATTTAAATGAAGCTAAAAATTCTGAAAGATAATATCTTCCAAGACTCAATTATTCACTGCCTTTTCTTCATCAGGACCAAAAATAAATTGGTTTTGATCAGTCAGGAGTCTGACAAAAATGGTACCAGGCTCATTTCTCAGTGAGCTTTCAGTTGATTTGTACATTTCACGATCCCCTCAACAAAGGCTGAAGAGCAATGTATGTGTTTCCCTTCTAAGAATGGTGCCTCAAATAAGTAGAAGCCCTGCGAAAGCATCAGTATAGACATATGTTTGTAAAACACATCCCAGAAAATAAATCAATAGATTATTTTAGACATTGGCCTCCTTCCTTACCTCTTCCCTTATTTTGGTGTTCCTATACATTGCCCTAAAGATTTGATACAAGCTTTGCACTAGGACTAGCTTAAAACAGTAAACATTTAATTCCTTTCTAGATGTTTCAACTAAGTATTATTGACAGAGTTTGACTTCATTAAGACTGGGATGTTACAGTGGTATATAAATTCGAACGTTTCATACACCAATATATAGAAAGGATATAACATCTTTTTAAAAACTGAACTTACTCTGAAAGTGAGACTGGCCAATCCATTCATATTACATAGAACTAGTGATACTCTGATACCAGTGAATTTTGACATAAAATACAATTAAAGTTGCCTTAAGTTTTATATAGAGAATATTTTGAAAAAGGTGATATAAAGTCCATTTAAAATACAGAATATAATGTAAATTTGAAAGAATAATGGTAACCATATTTATAGAATGCTATAATGTTACTGTGTACATCATTCTTAGTAAAGTTTATTCTTATTAATAATTTTTGTATAATAATGTACATGAAAATATTTTCATGAATTGCTACTTATTTCATTGTTGATATTCTTGTAGGTACTCAAAACTAACAGATTGTCACATAAAGACATTCAATACCTATTGGATAAATGAATTACTAAATGAATACTTGGACATTATTTTTACCCTATATAAGAAAATTCTCAGCATAGGAGAAAATAGGTAAAAAATAATTTATTGCATACCTAATCTTGTTTCTAAGTCTGTCTTTACCCCTTTGCACCTAAAATTATTTTCGTCTATTTTTTTCTCTTGGTTTTACCAGCATTTTCAAAGTACGTGGAATATTTATTTAAAGTTTATGTGGAATATTTATTCTTTAGTGTGCTAAATAAATTTTACCAGCTAAAAGTCATATTTATCAAATATGTTTGCAATATTCAGGGTTTGTTTTTAATGTAATTTTTGTGATCTCAGAAATTTGATTAAAGTGCAGATACAGAAACTATGACAGGTAATATCACATGTAACCTAAGTTCCCCAACTATAACCACTGCTAGTAGATTTTCTCTTTTTCTTATTTGTTTGCTCATTATCTGTACATTTCTTTGCATCGTACTCAACTTATAAGTTACTTACAGTGCTTGCAAGAACAAAGGAAAATGCTAGGCTAAACGGCAAATAAAAGTGGAAATTAAACAATAACTAAAAAAAATACATGAAAACATACGCTCTTAGATCATGTATAATTTTTAGACTTGTTCTACTAAGTCAGCTACAAGATTCTTTCTGACACAGAAAAATAATCACAATCAGTTACAATAAGAAAAATTAGTTAAATACAAAATATCTTGAGAAGCTCATATTTTCAAGACAATGGAAGTTAAGAATAATTTTTTTTCTTATAGAGTCTCATGAAAAAGAGAGAAAATATCAACAAGATCTCTAAAATATGTTCCATATTAAAAGTCTCATGACTATCTTTTATAATACTCAAAATATAACCTTAGATATCAAGATTGAACTAATAGAATATCTGACAGATTAATAAAGTATAGTGTTCTTGTATGATATTTTATGATTTTCAGGTTCTATCCAATTATATTATTTCACTAGTTCAAATATTAAATATAACTTAAAAATACTAAATTATGTTCTATTAAATTGACTATAACTTATTAACTTCCACTACTCTACTAGAGCTGTTTAATATTATTCTGGATGCCATATTTGTTCAAAGGGTCTAGGATGACACTGGGGGTGATTTTACTATTAAAATTATCACCTTTTATTCACCCAATGATGCTGCCATACACTGGAAAAATAAAAAGATGTCTGAACTGTATTTTTTAAATTCTGAGTATAATATAGAGAGCATAACAAAAGCTTATAACTTATTTCCACATATTTTTACTGTTCAGCTGTATAAAAACCATATGCAAAAAATGCTGGAAAATGTCTTTCAAATATTTTCTGTTATTTTATTTTAATTTTTGCTTTCATGATGACCGTATAGGTTTTTAACTCAGAATGTTATTGTAATGAGAAATAACAGTCATCACCCTTATGCGTCAACTGAAAGTTGATACTAATTTGGCATTTGGAGTGAAAGAATGATAGCTACAGGAGCAGCTACATCCTATACAGCCATCTGTAGTCTCTTAAAGACTTTAACATCAGGTCTTGATCAGAAGCTGGCATTTTTAAAGGTCATCTGGCTTCTCAGTGCTAGTCAATTACTGAACAAGAGAGTACCACTGACAGTTAAACACTCTGCAGAATTAGCTAAAGCACTACAGAAAGACACCAAGCACTTCTTACAGAAATATTCTGCATACATTTCAGAAAATCCCCCTGGTATTTTCAAATCAACTTATGTTCAGCTGTACATAAACAATTCTATTTCTGTCTCCAAAGAAATTCTCAAACTACAGGTTGTAGAAAATGGTCAGAATTTCAATCGTTATTTCTGTTTTGAGGTCCTGATTTGGAATTCTTCTTTTAATGCTTTCTTACAATAATATTTTGAGATAATATCCTTAAAAATGAACTGAGTTCTATGGTAATAATATTACGTAAAAAATATAATCTATTTTCGCATACATACGTAGGTAGTATCCAAGATACTACGGTGAAGCCTACATAGACTATAAACCCATCACTAGACTACAATCTTTATGAGTGTATATTTTTTGTCAGTTTTGTTCAGTGCCATATGTCCAGTGCCTAGATCAATGCCTGGCTTTGAATAGTTAATAAATATCAATTGAAGTGAAGAATAAAAAAAAAAGGAGAAAAAAATAGAATTGGCTATCTTTTCAATATCTAGTTATTGAGCAACCAGAATAAACATAATTATGAGGTAAGCATTGATATTTAGGAGGTGGCGCTTATGTAATGAAAAGAACACAAACTATGGGGTTTGAAGAGAGCTTTTTACATGTTTAAGACATCTAGCTTGTTTCTGAGCTCTGAATTAAAACAGTTTGGGTGAGAATTCCAATTCTAACTGCAACTTGTTGAATGGTTGTGTATAAAAGATTTTCTTGTCCACAAGGTTTTCAAATAAAAGGCAAAGGTAAAATTATTAAATACTTACCTCCTTGGTTTAACCTGAAGATTTAATGAGGTAATAGAATAAAAATATTTGTCACCTACTGTGGGTTGAGTTGTGTCTCCCTAAAAGACATGTTCAATTTCTAACCTCTGATCCTCTGGTACCTGTGAATATGAGCTTATTTGAGATAGATTCTTTGTACATATAATAAAGTTAAGATGAAATCATATAGGAATAGGGTAAGCCCTCAATACACTAACAGGTACCCTTATAAGAGGACAGGACACAAAGAGAAATAGGGTAGAAGTCTATGTGAAGATGGAGGCAGAATGTGGAGTGATGCAGCTGTATCCAAGGAATGCCAAGAGCCACCAGAACCTACGAGAAGGCAAAGAAGGAGTCCTTCCTGGAGACTTTGCAGAGGTCATGGCCCTTCTGACACCTTTGTTTTAAAATTCTTGCTTCCAGAACTCAGGAAAATAAGTTTATGTTGTATTAGCTACCCAGTTTGTGGTAATTTATAGGGCAGCTCTAGGAAAATAATACAGTGTAGTTAAAGTTCAATAAATATTATCTATTTATAAAATATTATCACTCCATGACATTATTTTCTCATTAAAAATGAAACATAATAACATCTAACTTGCTATATTAATGTCAGAATGTTTTAAAAATATGTTATCAACTGCTCTCTTGTACTGATCTCTGATAGATGTTGATATAGTTTGGCTCTGTGTCGCTGCCCAAATCTGATGTTGAATTGTAAGCCCCAATTTTGGGGGAAGGGCCTGGTAGGAGGTGTTTGGATCACGGGGGAGGATTTTCCCTTTGCTGTTCTTGTGATAGTGAATGAGTTCCCATGAGATCTGATTGTTTGAAAGTGTGTAGCTTGTCCCCCTTTCTCTCTCTCTCTCTCTCTCTCTCTCTCTATCTCCTGCCAGCCATGTGAATATGTGCTTGCTTCCCCTTCACCTTCTGCCATGATTGCAAGTTTCCTGAGGTCTCCCCAGAAGTAGAATTGTTTTTGAGTTCTGTACAGCCTGCAGAACCTTAAGCCAATTAAATCTATTTTATTTATAAATTACCCAGTTTCAGGTATGTCTGTTTAGCATTGTGAGAACAGAATAAGACAGGTGTTATCATGAGAACATATTTTAACTGTAGATTTTATAAAATAAATATTTTTGAGGAGTAGGTCTTGTAAGAGCATGTATCCATGTGCAATGGAGATAAATACTTACCAAAAGGCAAATCACTGTATATTTTAATCAGTATCTTAGAAAACTTGTTGTACCATTTTGTGCATGAGTGCCTTAATAAATATTATCTGATAAATCTCACTGATATAAGTGGTACTAAACATTTTTCTTTTAGTATTTTTGAGGCTAATATTATTAGCATGAGAGATTATGGAGGAAAAACAGCTTAAAGCAAATACAAACATTCAAAATTATGCGGACTATGAAACTTTAAAGTAAAGCATGTAATTTATTTTTCCCCTATGTTTGATATCTAGCAGAAAAAAAAATCCAACTGAATTAAGAATGGTAATCCAGATAGATGACTGTCCTTTTGGCCCCAGATGGCTCTGACATAAAACTCATCCCTTCATTGGCTTCCAAACAGCATCTAATAATAGCAGTATAATTGGTTTTTTATAATTTTATTCAAGATATGTGGGGTTACAAGAAGGGTCAAATTGCATTGTACACTGAATACTGCATTTTATTTGAATAATTCCATTGTCATTGTTTTTTCTCTAATTTGTTATTTATTTATTTATTTATTTATTTATTTATTTATTTATTTCTGGCTGCTCTTACCCATGTAACACCCAGCCCTCTGGCTTTCTTTCTTTCTTCCAGGGAAAGTGCACCTGGCTCCTTTCAGTTCCATTAAATTGACCTTTGATTAAGTAAAACAATTAGTCTGTTTTTCTGTTACTTCTATAAGCGAGTATTTCAATACCTAAAGGTTTTTAGCAAGAAAAAGTCTTAACATATATTTGGCACAACTTCACATCCTCACTTAGAACTCACTGTCTCTTTCACATCCTTCCAGATTATTTTAAGAATAAAATCACAATCATGTTTAAACTTTACCTTGCTCTATTTCTTTAACTCTAAAAGAAAACTCTTTTTACATACTCTGTGATACAAATACAGTACCTTAGAAAGGAAAACAGGCTTACAGTATAATTTCTAACTAATTATCAATCTGAAATCATAGGATGTAAATGGTGCCTACTATCAGGATCTTTCTTTCTCTTCTCAAATATATTTCTATTTATCTGAGAAACTGATAACAAATTTTGTCAAACACACAAAATAAAAAGAAAAGATGCTTACGTATCTAGCCTCTGCCTTGATATATATTGATTTTCTAGGTACCTTAAAATAGAGTTAAGATTCAGCACACATCTAGAGAAAATCTGCTCCAAGGGGCAATGTATTGGGAAGCTACAGAAATAGGGTTAAGTAAAGCTCTCAGTGAGCTCACAAACAGTGAGAGGACAGACACGTATGTAATTAAGCAACAAACAAATGATACATGTGCCGTTAGAGGACTCCAAAATCAAAAGTTGTTTTTCAAAACATGGTTGCACTACTCACATTCTGATACCAAGTAATTTTCTTAACATCTTTGTGCCTTAGTTTGTTATATATGAAAATGGAGTCCTAATAACACTCAACTCAGAGGGAGGTTACAGTTACATAGGAGGACTTAGTTCTGGTGTTGCACCATAGGGTGACTACAGTTGACAATAATGTATTTTTATTTCCTAGCTAAGAAAGAGGATTTTGAATGTTCTCATCACAAAAAATGACAAGTATTTGAGGTGATGGATATGCTAATTACCCTGATTTGATTATTACCCAATGTATACATGTATTGAAACATCGCACTGTACCCACAAATATCTAAAACTATGAATCAATTAAAACCATGAATCAGTTAAAACCAAAATAGAACTTCAAAAAATGCTACAATTCCTATAAAACTCTTTGATTCCTGTGTGGTACATTTTAAGTACAAAAATACATGTTTGTTCTTATTAATGCTGTTATTCATATGAGAATGAATAAATACAATTTGAACCAATTTTTTCTCTTCTAAAACTTGAATGTCTTCCTTTTCTTTGTTCTCAGCTGATACCCTTCGCATTTATATTATGACGATATTAAGGAAGGAAGATGCCAATGCTTTTAATTTTTCAAAATTACAAAAAATAAAAAGTGTGCATACTTGAACTGCAGTTGCACCATATTCTCCACTTTTTCTCCTCTTATAAAGAAAAAGCATATATTTTCTAATTCAAGACCAAATCCTAGCCCCTTATTATGTAAAGTACAATTGAAGAGCAAAATTTCCCCAGCTCAACCATTTCAGGTAAATTTAATCAGAATGTTCAGTATTTCTCCAACTTTCATGAATTACGTATGAATTCCTGGGAATCTTGTTAAAATGCAGATTCTGATTTCGTAGGTCAGGGATGGGGATAGTTTTTGTTTTTCTAACAATCTTCCAGAAGCTGATAATGCTGCTGGTTCATGGACCACATTTTCCTTAGCAAGAACCTCACAGATAGATTCCTGTATCCCACAAGGATTCCTTCTTTTTTGTAACACTTTTCATGCAGTGTAACATACTTTCCCTACGCGATAGATCAATTATAACTTTACAACTATTCTGGTCTGTCTTTCGTAAAGTAATATTTCCCCACCTAATTTTCAATGTTCTGCCAAACTGGTACTCTCTTAATTTGTAAATGTGACAGGCTATTTTCCTCCCTGGAGACTTTATCCATGTATTTTCCTATTACCAGAAGAATACACTCTAGCTTAATCTCTGTTGTGTCCTTAAGTGTTTGATTCCTTCTATTTTTATGTCTCACCATGTCACTGATATGATTTAGCTTTGTGTCCCCACCCAAATCTCATCTCCAATTATAATCCCCACATGCCGAGGGAGGGACTTGGTGGGAGGTGATTGGATTATGAGGGCGATTTTCCCCATGCTGTTTTCATTATAGTGAGTGAGTTCTCAAGAGACCTGATGGTTTAAAAGTATTAGGCAATACCCCCTTTTCTCTCTCTCTCTCTCTTGCTCCACCTTGGTAATAAGTGCCTTGCTTTCCCTTCACCTTGTACCATGATTGTAGGTTTCCTGAGGCATCACCACCCATGTGCAACTGTGAGTCAATTAAACCTCTTCTATAAATTACCCAACCTCAGGCAGTTCTTTATAGCTGCGCAAAAAATGGACTAACACAGTCATGTCTTTGAAGAGCCCTTTAAGAATATCCAAAGAAAAGCAATCCAGCATATACTTGTTATGGAGATGGAGTTTCGCTCTTGTCACCTAGGCTGGAGTGCAATGGCGGCATCTTGGCTTACTGCAACCTCCGCCTCCAGAGTTCAAGAGATTCTCTGGCCTCAGCCTCAAAAACAGCTGGGATTACAGGTGCCCGCCACCTTGCCAGGCAAATTTTTGTATTTTTAGTAGAGACGGAGTGTCATCATGTTGGCCAGGCGGCTCTCAAACTCCTGGGCTCAAGTGATCCACCCATGTCGCCCTCCTAAAGTGCTGGGATTACAGGTGTGAGCCACCATGCCAGGCCCAACCCTCTGTTTTCTTTGTTGCAGATATGGTCTGGATGTTTGTCCCCTCCAAATCTCATTTTGAACTGTAATTCTCACTTGAGTTAATTTTTGTACATGGTGTCAGAAAGGGATTCAGTTTCAATCTTCTGCATATGGCTAGTCAGGGACAGAAAACCAAATACTGCATGTTCTCCCTTATAAATAGGATCTAAATGATGAGAACACATAGAGGGAAACAACAGACATTGGGGCCTTTTCTAGGGTGGAGGGTGGGAGGGGCGAGAGAGGATAAGGAAAAATAACTAATGGGTAGTAGGCTTAATACCTGATTTATGAAGTGATATGTATAAAAATCCCCATGACACAAGTTTTACCTTTCTAGCAAACCTGCAGTTGTATCTCTGAACTTAAATTTTTTTTAAATACAAAGAAATGTAATTTCCGGTGTTGAAGGTGGACGTCATTAATTGCTTAATACAATTTCCTTAGTGCTGAGGGAGTTCTCGCTCAGTTAATTCACACAAGACGTGGTTGTTTAAAAGGGTCTGGAAGCTCCTCCTTTGTGATCATAATCCCACTCCTGCTAAGTGCCATGATGTCCACCGTGATTGTAAGCTTCCTGAGGCCTTCACCAGAAGCTGAACAGATGTTAGCACCATGCTTCCTGTACAGACTGCAGAACCATGAGCCAATCGAACCTCTTTTCTTTATAAATTACCCAGCCTCAGGTATTTTATACTAACGCAAAAACAGCCTAACACAGTTGATAACTTTTTAGTCATCTCTCAGAGATAGTGCTTCACCAAATGAATAATAATTTGTGTTAATTTCCTATTGCTGTCTTAGAAGTAACACTACAAGGTTAGTGACTTAAAATGGCACATATTTATAATTTACAGTTCTAGAGGCCTGAAATCTAAAATGAATTGGAGGAGCTCTAGGACCCATCATGCCCACTTTCTGTTTGTGAAGACATATATTTGGTTAGAGGAGCTAAGTTCTATCCACTAGCCATATATATTAAGGTATCTACCTGAACAGGCACTATGTTTGAAGTTTTTATTTCTGTGTGTGTGTGTGTGTGTGTGTGTGTGTGTTTATGTAAAGACAGATCAGGTTGTGTTTGAGTGATGAGCAGGGTTGTATGAACAAGAGTATAAGAGATGTATTTCCAAATTCTAAAGAAATTTAGATAAGATTTTGCTTTGTTAGTTTCTGTTTGTTTAGCTGGTTTTGAAAAAAAATAGATAATAGATCTGCTATTTAAAATGTTTAAAATAACATTTAAAAAATGTTGTCATCTGTTCCATCAGAAAGTATGTGATTTTAGAGCACCTGTCACAACAATATTAGCATTCGCACAAGGAATTAAATCGGTAAACAGTATTGGGGTACCTAAAGACAGGTGGAAGACAGTAAACTTAGGCAAGGTGGAGCTATAGCTAGAACAACTGCGTAGTAGACACTTCATGGTGATTCTAGTTATCAGACTCATCTGTGATAACAATAATACCCTAGTTTTATTTAATTTCTCAGAAATTCCAGTTGACATTTGGATGGAACTTTTCATAAGGTTTAGGATTAGGTAAGGCTATTGAACTGTTGGGTGCTTAAGGACATGTCATTAGACATTAATATTGATTATGAACTTGGTATCCACAATGATGGTCATTCTTTAATGACCTTAAATCTTTCTAGCCCCATTCTCAATGTGGTATGTTTGATGCATAAAGGTTGGCTAAACATTGAAAAAAAAGAAACCTGAGTTATAATGAAACTGAGGTTCCTTTAAGGGCCTTGGGTTTTCTAATTGATGATATCCTAGTTAGTTGCTTGCAAACAAAAAAAAAAGGTCAGGGAAGAAAAAATGAGGTTTCCTATTAGAAAGGAGACAAATAATAAAAGTCTAATATCTTACTTCCTTCTAAGTTAAATTGAGCCCAATAACAAAATGATACTTTGTTTAACATGAAAATAAAATATTAATCTTTAGCACAATGAGTTTGACATACTTGAAGATATTAGTAAATGAGTGTTAAGGCCCCGAAGCTTGACGCTAGAAGCTAGAAAATTTCTAAATCACTTTGTCTAAATAAAAAGCATAATCATTCATTACCTGACATCGAGAAGATTTCAAGTTATGTGGGATAGATTCAGAAATAAAGCAAAGTAAAAGATTTTCCTAGGTTCTGTGAGGATTGTTTCTGATACTTTTTATGTGCTGCTCTTTGAATAAGCATCTTGTACAAGACTGTGTCTAAGAAAATAACTCTGCCATACTCATCCCAAAATTAATCACTTTAGTGTGAATGACACATCCAGTGTGTGATTCAGTGAGGGTTGCATGCAAATTGCAAAGAATCTGAATTTAGAGCTCTCCCCATTTTTCCATGTATCTTTGAATTCTGTTATTTCTGTTTGCACTAATAACAGTTACTTACACACCACTTTCCTCAAAGCAAAGAGACAGAGGGAATGACTCATCAATAAATTTGAGTTGGAGAGAGGAACCTGATGCAAGCTCATAATCCTTTCCAGATTGTGAAATTATCTTCATGAATTCTCTCTGCTGCTGAAATATTCCCAAGGGACCTTTATTCTAATTTCATAAAAGAAGAGGCGGAAACGATTTTTTTTTTTTTTTTTTTTTTTTTTTGGAGATGGAGTCTCGCTCTGTCGCCCAGGCTGGAGTGCAGTGGCACAATCTCGGCTCACTGCAAGCTCCACCTCCCAGGTTCACGCCATTCTCCTGCCTCAGCCTCCCGAGTAGCTGGGACTGCAGGCGCTTGCCACCACGCCCAGCTAATTTTTTGTATTTTTAGTAGAGACGGGGTTTCACAGTGTTGGCCAGGATGGTCTCGATCTCCTGACCTCGTGATCCACCCGCCTCGGCCTCCCAAAGTGCTGGGATTACAGGCATGAGCGACCACGCCCTGCGGAAACGATTGTGTATGGCAATCACGAGGGTCGGGTGCCACATATAAACTGTATGTATCTTCCTCATTCATTTCTCTCATGGTGGAAAAAAAGTAGGCCACCATATTTCTTGAAGAAAAAAATTTTTTGAAGAATATTTCTCTTGAAGAATGTGACAGGGAAAGAGACATATTCAGGCCCACTGCTTTCTGATGAGAATTGGTAGTATGGAATCGGCTACATGGAAGGCAACAGCTACAAAAAAATCCCCTCTACTTGGGATAACAGATTTGGTTGGGTACAAAAAATGAAACATTATATGGGGGGATATATGAAAAAGAACAGCCATCTAGAGGTCCAGCTAGGAAGAGAAGATTGTGAAGGGTACTTAGTAAAATATCACCTGTGGAATATTTTATGTTCCTCCAAATAATATCTCTCTTAGAACTCAAAATTTTTATGAAGTAAATTTTCCTAGAGTAGTAATTGCATAAACATTGATTAATGGTATGTGTAATCTTTACCCTACCCGAGGTGTCCCCAACCCCCAGGCCACAGATGGGTACTGGTCCATTGCCTGTTAGGAACCAGGCTGTACAGCAGATGGTGAGTGGTGGAAGGACCTCCTGTTGGGTCAGCTGTGGCATTAGATTCTTATAGGAGCATGAACCCTATTGTGAACTGTGCATGTGAGGGATCTAGGTTGTGTGATCCTTATGAGAATCTAATGTCTGATGATCTGAGGTAGAACAGTTTCACCCTGAAACCATCATCCATCATCCCTCACCCTCCATCCCTGGAAAAATTGTCTTCCACAAAACTGGTCGCTGGTGCCAAAAAGGTTGAGAACTGCTGCCCTACCTCATGCCCTAAACGCACTAGGGATTCACCTGTCTTCTTTATAGTTTTTCTGCCAAGACTGCTATACTAGCTGCTTCCTTTTTCTAAAACTTTTTGGACTTATTCTTTAATTGATGAGAAATAACTGAATGTGGTAACCCACTCCTCCAGAGTGAATCCAGAGTTTGCTTTTCCAACCAGAAGCAAGTTACCTGGGTCTGAATGTAATGGAATCCTTAAGGATTGAGTGAGAATTTTTTCATGCATGGTAAAAAAGCTGACTTATCCAGACCTTGTATGATAAAATCTCATTCCAAATGGAATACTGTATTAAATTCTAAAAAATTATATTCAGATCCTCAAGTGTCTTCAGAAAACTTGAGTGATCTTCCCTAGAAGCAAAGTCAAAAGAAGAATTTGAGGAATCCTATGTGTAACAGTGAACTAGTACAAGGCCCCTAGTACACACACTTGTTTTGAGTGGGTTAGGAAATGAGACTTATTCATTGGCCCAATATAGAGGAGAATTCCTTTAATCATTCAATCTAAAATCTATTGGAGTATTAAAACAAAAACTGAATTTTAGAGAAAATATATATTTAATTTTCAATATATTTTTTTTCTTTCCCGGGATTCTTAGCCCACAAGAGCATAAACAGTGAACTTCATCTCCAGGTATTCATATTTTTATGTAGTCCTCTCTGACCATAAGCCATAAACATGACTGATTTGTAGAATTAATAGCATACTGTGGCTTTCAAGTTTAGGTTATAAAAGAAATTGTGACTTCATTTTGTTTTATTTAATATTTTGCTCTGAGGGAAGCCTACTGCCATGTTGTAAGGACATTCAAACAGCCATATGGAGAGGTCCACATGGTCTGAAGCTGTCACCTTTTGTTGATGGCCAAGACCAACTTACCATCCATGTTAGCCAGCCATCTTGGATATAAATCTCCCAGCCATAGTGGAGCCTTACTATGACTGTAGTCCTGGCTAAAATCTTAACTGCAACTTCCTGTGAGTCTCCAAAGCAGGACAATTAAACTTTTATGCACCTGATTTTCTGACCCAGAAACAATGTAAGAAAAAACACATTTATTATTTTAAGCCACTAAATTGTGAGGAAATTTATTATACAGCAATAGATCATTAATAGCCCCTGTTCTTCTTTTCTTTTCTCTTTCTTCTATGTTTTCATTCTAATCATCCAAAATAATATATTGTCTTACAATCAGTAATCTGGGGTATAAGTGACCATATTAAGTCTTGCCTTTAAATATAATGAGCTTACTAGCACACCCACATTTCAGAGTTATCATAAGAACTCTTTTCTTGCAAATTATAATTGGGTTTCAATAGAAAAAATACATATATACACACATATTCATGTTTAATATGTATTTATGCATAAATTCATATTTATGTATATATGTATTTACATACATTAAAGTATTATATAGATGTATATATATTTATAAAGTAGGAACCTGAGATAAACAGACTTTAGCGGAGGAAGTTATCTTTTGGCTTTTTTATCTACTATTCTCTTTTTTTCCCCTTTTGTTTTTATGATTTGATTTGTTACTGTGTTTTACAGGCACAAAAATGTTTATCTTTCAATAGCAGCAATAATAATATCCAATATATAATTTTACAAATAGCTACTGGCTTTTTTCTCTGACTTTTACATTAAGCGCTGACAGTTCAGCTTTTATAGTTTATTTACAATGTAATTAGGGTGAGTAAATTTCATATTAAGATAAAATGAACAGAAAAATATTACCAAAAATAACAAATGGAAAATGGAATGCGATACAATATAAAATTGTATCTAACAGAAAATATAGTATATTAATATTGACAAGTTGATGCAAAATGTGGAGATCAATTTAAAAAATGAAATCACACCCTTTATTCAGACTTTAAAGCTAAAATAACCTAAGACTGTAGAATGTTTCTTATTTATCTATCTCTTAACTCCTGGGCTAGTTTCCAGATTATTGTCATAGTATTAATTTGCTTAATACATTGTTTTGTAAGTTTAGTTTCATTTCAAGGATTTCTTCAGAATTTCCAGATATGGTTTTTACTGTTTTATTAATGTTATTGACATTTTTTTATTATTTATAGTACATGTTCTTTCTTGTTTGGATGCTTGGCAGTTCACACTTTGTAAGTAAAGAATTATCCCTACAACTGCTTGCATTTCCACTCGCCTTATTATACCAAAAAACAAAATTGACAAATTAGTATATGATAAAAACTTTTTAGTATGTTATAACAAGTAATACACAATAAATTTTTCCCAAGTGATTCCTGACTTTTAATTACTTACTTATATGTTTTTTTCTAGTCCAAAAATCTTTCTTGGACTTCTTTTTGTTAGACTCTCTAGAAACCAGGATTACTTTTAAAGGAATAATTATGACATCTCACAAATGTAGCTTGTCTTTTAAATTCCAGTGTATTCTGCCCTTTTGTATGGCTCCTTCTGTGTTTTTTCTAAAACTTTTTCAGAAGTACATATTAGATTTTGCTTTCCTGAAATTATGCATGTTTTTCAGTATCTTTTTTTGACATTATTATTTTGTTATTGCATGTGTGTGTGTATGTGTGTATTTGTGTATTTGTGTGTGTTTAATGTGTTTGATGTTTATCATATTTGCAGTGTGGTCATGTTTGGCTGAGAAGTTTGTGAATAATATAGCTTAAGAATTCATAGATTTTCATGTTTGATGTATTGGACAAAAATATCCATTTCTTCCCAGATGTAGATAAAGGAGACTGGGGAAAGAGAGTGACCAAATCGTTAATCACCGAGATAATTAAAACGGAAATAGTCCTGGAAGGCACCTGTTGTGGCCTTTCCTGAAAGTATCTTTGTTCAGATATGTTTAATGCCTAAGTCCTAAAGGAGATCAACTCAATTATCTCTAGTACATATTTTAAGTGTTAGAAATTTTACTTGAAACAAAGACATTTTAAATTTAACTAAATATGATAGTATTTATGAGCAATTATCATGAATCTTAGAATTGTCACCAAGAGTTAAAATTATTATGTTATTTCTGAGTAAATTTTATAATTATTGCAAAAGGTCATCCAGTAGAGTTTAGTTAAAATCTTTTGTCTTAGCAATAAATGTAAAATATTTCTACTTGCTACTAAGCAAAATATAGAAATAGAAATGAGCTTTCATTTAAATTATTTATACATATATACACAGATTTTTGAATTGAGCTTTTGTCTGTGGGTCTACGTGAACAATAGCTTTGGCATAATTTATAGTAATCATTCTAAAATTTAAAAATTTCCAGCAAATGTAAGAAAAATAAAAAGATGACGAATCCAAAATTCTTATTCCAAATTTTGTGACAATAGCCACACCTTCCCTGAGGGTCCTTGAATCTCTGATTTTATTTGAGTGACCTAGAGGTTGACACATTTTAACAGTGAAATAGGTTAGCTTTCGTTATTCATTTGATAATAAAAGCCATAGGAGTAGCCATGAGACATCAGGAAGAATGATCATATATACATTAGTGTCCCTGCTGGATTTCATACTACTCACAATTTTTTAGTTTTTTCCAAACCCAGTCCCTTAACCATGGCCAACCCATATCTAGCCAAATATCCTGTAGTTAAAAGTCAGCACTGCTCAGGACACAGATATAATATTTTTGTTTGAAGAATGAATAAAGACTAGAGCTGCCTGCGGACCCAGGTAAGATGACTAGCCATTCCAATGTGACTAGAACAGGAGGTATAACAACACACTGGACTTTTGGTGACAAAATTGGTACAGTCTTGAGTAAAAAGGGAAAGCTGGTTTTCCTAGGAGTATTGGTGTAGGAATTAATACCACTGCCATAACTTAAGTACATATGTTATTGGTCAGTTAGGTAGACAGAATAATAACTCCATAAAGATACCTACCTCCTAATTTCAAGGGAATGTGAAGTGTAACTTTAAATGACAAAAGCGACTTTGCAGATGAGATTAAGATTCTTGAGAGAGGTAAAATATTTTGGATTTTTGAGGTGGTGCAATATAATCACAAGCGCTTTTATAAAAGAGAAGTAGAATGGTCAGAAGTAGAAAGCTATTGTGATTATGAAAGCAGGGGGAGATTTGAAGATGCAAAGCCTCTGGCTTTGAAGATGAAGAAAGATCAGATGACCTAGGAAATCAAGGTGGCCTCCAGATGCCGGAAAAGAAAATAAATGGGTTGTGCCCTGGAGACTCCAGAAGAGACTAGCCCTGAAGTCATAGTGACGTTAGCCTACAGAGATTAATTCTGGACTTCCCACCTCCAGCATTGTATAGTAATAAAATTTTGCTGCCTTAAGCCATTCAGTTTGTGATAATTTGTTAGAGCAGCAATAAGAAACTAAATAAAGTCCAATTCACTGAGCTTTGTTGTTATTTCTTGGACAATTTAAATGCTTTTGAAAAATCATTGTGTTTCCTTTTATCCATATGATTAAAAACATATATTAGCTATTAACTACTAATATCTTACTTTTGCAAATAATTATATGCATGATAATATCTGCTTGGTTAAAATGTAATTTCTAACATCCCTTTCCTGTTTTCCATAATTTTCTTTCTGACTAACCTATCAGGGACACAGGAAATATATTGTTGTGTCATCAAGAGCATGCAGCCCATTGGAATGTGAGATTTGTATTTAAAACTTGATTTTAAAGTGAATAGCTTAGGCAACTAACACAATGCATTTAATCAACCAGAATCAGGCCTTGTGTCCAACTCTAGCTATAAGAGAGGTGAGGGATTTTGTAACTGTCCTTTTTAACCTGCAGAGGATGGACAGAGCACCGAGGCCGAGGCGGGTGGATCACGAGATCAGGAGATCGAGACCATTCTGGCTAACACGGTGAAACCCCGTCTCTACTAAAAATACAAAAAATTAGCCAGGCGTGGTGGCGGGCGCCTGTAGTCCCAGCTACTAGGGAGGCTGAGGCAGGAGAATGGCGTGAACCCGGGAGGCGGAGCTTTCAGTGAGCCGAGATCGCGCCACCGCACTCCAGCCTGGGCGACGGAGAGAGACTCTGTCTCAAAAAAAAAAAAAAAAAAAGACTCAGTTGGGAACTATTGGTGTTTAGCTAGCCAAAAGAGTCTGCCAAAAGGTTGGTCCTGAAGCCCCAAGGGAAATACAAGTCGGTTAGGGGTCACACATGTACACTAACAACGGCTCATTGGAGGGTTTGGATGGCACTAGGAATTAAGACTTGTTTTTATAGGCAGAATATATGGCTGGAAAACAATTGTAAGAATTTTAAAGGGCAGAAAAGATGAGTAATTCTGCAAAAACTAATGAGACTGTAAAAATGGTATGGTCAATATCATAATAGAATTCATCAATTGTTTTCAAAAGAGAAAATTGTTAACATGTTGGAAAAGTATTAATAAATGTAAAGGCATGCATGGATCTGCTCAGTTTGGACTATATTATTAGCTTTTTAATGTTGAACACATTATTTCACCCTTTTGAGTTTAATTTCGTCACATATGTTGAAATTGATGACATTAGTATTTGGTTATTAAAATGAAATAAAATAAGTAGACATATAATGCGGCTACTGATCCCTGGAAAGTCTTCTGAATAGTTTTTTCCACTCTTCATCCTATACATCCAGTTTATTTTTTCTCCTTAAAAATTATTCATTAACAAAGACTCAATAATTTTAAATTCATAAAAGCCTAGTCAATGGATTACAGTTTAGTTTGTTATGAAAAAATGTGTTTTCTTAACAAAACAGAGTTGTAAAATATCTCTTATTAAGCTATTAATTAGTGATATATTGAAAATGATCTTTCATCAAAGCACATTGTCAATAGTAGTAAGCAATATTTAGATAATCTCATATTTTTAATTAAAAGAATCAAAAAGTTTGCAGGTGTGAAAAAGTCATTTTCTTCACTGGTGGCCAGGTTCCTGGATGAGGCACCTATAATAAAAGAGATTAAAAGAGAGAAGCGTACAGATTCATTTAATGTAAATTTTACACGACATGTGAGCCTTCAGAAATGTTTCCAGAGAAATAGGAGCCCCTGTGTATTTCTGTGCTCAGATTTGATGAGGAGTGGTCAGTTGTGGGGAAGTATGATTGGACAAAAGATATGTTCTGATGGTAATGAACTGGTGGTACTTAGCAGGCCTGTTTGTTCAGATGTTTGTTGACATGTGTGTGTCTTTGAGGATGACACTGTTTCTTTCTTCTGGATATAGGGAAGCCACCTGTGGAAAAAGATCTTTTGACCTGCTTCAGGGGAGAAGGGTGGGGGAAAGCGGACAGTGGACTCCCTACTTCTTCTTTTTTCTTGAATGCCAGTGTGTCATATTGGGGTAGTGTGTCCTGAACCTCATCAGGTGAAAGTCATACTTGAAGTTCATCTTCTTAGAAATTGCATTTTATTTATTCATTTATTTATTTATTTTGTAAAGACAGGGTTTTGCCATGTTGCCCAGATTGGTCTTGAACTCCTGGGCTCAAGTGGTCCTTCCAACTTGGCCTCCCAAAGTGCTGGGATTATAGGCATGAGTCACCATGCAGGCTGGAAATTTTATAAGAATGTAAACATAATGCTATTGGTATACTATTTTTTAACTTAATTTTGAGTTGCCTTTGGTGCAAACACTCATAATTAGAAAGTTTGAGTTAAATATTGAAGACCAATTAAAAGTTTCAAATGATTAATAAGCATGAGATTATTAACCAGCAAAATGACATTTGTGGTCAATGAAACAATACAAGCAAATTATAAGGCACAAAAAAACAAATACAAAAGGAAGTATAACAAAGGGATGATAATTTTTGATATAGAACCATTTAAAAATTGGCAATACTACAAGGTAGACATGATTCTTGCTGTGTACTTTACAAATGTCAGTGTTATTACCTTTTATTCACATTGAATAATGATGGATCCTTGCAGTCAGTTTCCTATAACCCTCAGGATATGATGTATGTGATATATGAGCTAGGGTCAAATTTTATTTCATAAATCAAAAGAATGTGTCTTTCAATGACACAAATAAAATGTAAAGGTTAAGTGCTTCATCTTCTAGACTATGAGGATACAATTGTATATTTATGAAAACATCTTTAAATATTTTTCCATTTCCATATTTTATTAAAAACAAATATTATTTTATTTCTCTTTAAATGTCTTGTTTTACTTTGTAGTTTTGTATGACATGTAAATAGAAAGGGAGAAACATATTTCCACTGTAATAAGGATCTTGGTTTTATTCCATAATATTTAATCACCAAAATAGAATTTTTAAAAAGTGTAAAACATTCACTTCCATAAAACACCCGGAGTCCTCGCATTTACGTTTCTAAATCATTACACATGATCCATTATGTATCAGTGAAAATGTCAAACATTTAAAATGATCTCTGTTCATTTAATGAGTCATTTAAGATGCTATTTTATTTTTTCTTTCTGTAGAAACCATTGAAAGCTAATTCACATAAGTATATCACACATTGTCATATTTTTATAGTATTGCATATGGAATGACGGTACTACTAAATCAAGTTTAAATAGTCATAGTATAGTTTAACCAGAAATCAACAACCAACAACATTGTCACTCAGGGAAACAAAACAAACAAAAATCATGCTTCCAGGGCACGTCTATTACTTTTTTATTTTTGTTCCTCTATTTATGACAACCTCCTCTTCCTTTAAAGATTTTGCTTATGCCCCACTCCCACCCCCTCACTGTATCACTCATCTTATTTCTGTTTCTGGATTTTCCTACTCTTCCTCTCTCCTTCAAACCATATTTTTCAGCTTGGAACTATCTATATATTTATTTAGTAATTTACACTGACTTATGTATGTTCTTGGTACTCATTTCTATCCATACACAGATTTTGACCTTTTACACTGACCACTGAGATATTGTTTCTCAAACTGTTTGATCATAATAATAACTTAATAATACATAGTGAACAGGAATCCCTATAAATTCAAAACTTTTCACCAAAAATACAGAATTCTCTAAAAATCACTGGCTTTACTTTTCAAATTTATGGTAAAGTTTTTATTTCACTCTGTGATATGTTGACTACATGAAACAAAATTCTAAATTGCTTAGCTGATATTGTGAAATGCAAATTTTCTTAAACCAGGACAGGCACAGTGGTTCACTCTTGTAGTCCCAACACTGGGAGACCAAGGAGGGCAGATAGCTTGAGCCCAGGAGTTTGAAAGCAGCTTGAGCAACATGATGACACCCTATCTCTACATGTCTATAGTCCCAGCACTCAGGAGGTTGAGGAGGGAGGATAACCTAAGCCCAGGGAGGCCGAGGCTTCAGTGAGCTGTGATCACACCACTGCACTTCAGCCTGGGTGACAGAGAGGAGACACTGTCTCAAAAAAAAAAAAAAAAAATCTAAAATCCAGATAATTTTTTTGATTTGAAAACACAAAAGCAGATGAATTGGTATGAAGTATCTGTAGTGTTCATTTTCTCTGTTTACATGAATATTGGTGTTTTATTGCATATATATGATGTGTTTGTTTAGCTATATACTACACTAGACTACATAGTATATGCATCAAATTGGATTTTGAAAAAACAAACATTTAATTTGAAACACATTTGCCTGCATGAATTTCTATGTAATGCGGACCAGAACCAGCTAAATTGCATAATAATCCTTTCCTTGTATTTGCAAGTATAATTATGGCTTTAGGGTTTCTTCTGGTTAATTAGCTCATATGTGGAGGTCAGAGTGAGGGCTAAATTCTATTTGGAGAAGAAATGATCTACATCTTACAAATGTATTATGAGTGCAGGTGTTAACTCTTCTTTGCAAATGCGGAGACTGAGAAAAGGAAAGATGAGATAGCTTGCCTAAGATCATATTACCAGGTCACCACTGAATCACAGCAAAGCACCTTCCTCAATGATTATATTATTGCTTTCCTCTCTCTCATCTATAATTCCTGCAGTATTCTTCTCTGAGATAGGATTCTTAGTCTCAGAAATGAATGTAAGCTCGATATTACTAGGTGACAATAGTTAGAAAACATCAATATTTTATCTGAAGCTTTCAGTTGCCTGTAATATGGCATTATGGCAAGCCCCAAGGAAGAGAGACATAGATTTTTAAATGTGGTTGTATTGTTGATACTTACGGAAGATCAGCATGAGCTCAAAATCTGATTCTTGTGTTTAGTGAAAATCAAGGTTAGGTGAATTTAGGGTGCTACTATTTCTGGGAAAAAGTAATTGCGTGATTAATTGATTCATTATTGTTAAATAGTCTTGTCTTTTTATGTCCATGCTAGTTTATACTTTAAGATTTCTATACAGAAGTATTTTCAAGAAATTGAAGCACTATTGAGTTAAAGGCAATAAAAAATGTCACAACAGTTCAAATCAGTGGTAAATACAAGTCATGGAGAAAATTATTATTATATGATTCATCCTAACTTAAGAATTGAAGGTATTCTTTTGCTTATAATATCACCTGTGCTTTTTCAAGTATATTTCACTTAAATAAAAGAGTGAAAAATATAAAATACCACATGTAAGCAACCTGCCAAATACTCATACATTATGGGTACTGAGGTCCCATAAGAAATGGAAATTTTTAAATCAGCAAATAGCTATATAGTTTATTGCAGTATTTTACATTAGTAAATTTTTAAATTACACTTTATTGTCCTGTAATACAAATATGACTAAATGACAGGTTGTCTTTTATGTTTCAAATATAACTGAATATAATCATATCAAATAATTTAACATAGGCCTTTAAAACTACATATAAATATGTGTTATATTTTTATCTTAGTCCATTTTGGCTGATATCAAAAAAGTACCCCAAACTGGGTAGGTAATAAACAACAGAAATTGTTTCTTACAATTCTGGAGGTTGGAAAGTCCAAGATCAGGGTACCAGCAGATTCACTGGTCAGAGCCTACTTCCTGGTTCATAAAATGTGATCTTTTCATTGTGTTTTCATATTGTGGACATGGCAGAAAGCTCCCTTGGGCCTTTCTTATAAGAGCACTCATTCCATTCATGAGGGCAAAGCCCTCACATCCTAATCACCAACAAAAATGTCCGAACTCCTAATACCATCACTCTGAGCGTTAGGATTTCAACATAGGAATTTTGGGAGGACACAAACATTCAGACTATAGCCATCATTATACACAAAAATAATATACCACTTAAAATTTCATGTTTATAAATTGACATTTATTCTTAAGGGAAAAGGTGTTGGTTTACAAAGAGTTTTATAATTACTTATGTTACTGCAATTTATTAAATGAACTCAGTTTGCAAATAACCTTAGGATACATGAAAAATGAAGCATTATCAGAAGGTAATATACAGTCATGAATTGCTTAAGAACATGGATACATTTTGATAAATGCATCATTAGGCAATTTTGTCACTGTGCAAACATCATAGACTGTACTTTCACATATACAACAGAAACCTCTATTGTATAGCATACAACCCACCTAGGCTGGATGGTACAGCTTATGACTCCTAGGCTACAAACCTGTATAGCAGGTTACTGTACTGAATTCTGTAGGTGATTGTAACACAATGATAAGTATTTGAGCATCTAAACAGAAAATCTACAGGCAAATATGGTATAAAACACAAAAAATAGTACACCTGTATAGGATAACTCCACTGTAATCTTACAGGACCACCATCATATATATGGCTCATTGTTGACTGAAACATCCTTATGTGGCACATGAATAACTACTTTTCTGAGAACCACACATTCTAGTTTAGGTTGTATTCAATAATAAAACTGTTTTATTTCTTTACTACCTTTGCAGAAGAGTTTTCTCGATTCTTCTACCCTTTATTGCATATATGTAAGCCTACGAATGAATTTGAAGAGAAACTTTATTGAAATTTTATATTGGATTCTAGGCTGTGCTGGTTGGAAGTGTAGTTCTGTCAACTGAATTTTGAGCCAAGTCATGATTAATACAGCATTTGCATCTGGGTTTTTGTACTAGGTACAGGGAGTGAGAATGGACAGCAGGAAAGTCTTCATTTACTGCAACCTATTGAGTAACTGCATCAGCCAGAATCATTTATTTGAGGCAAAATGTCACATTAATTACCTTCTTGTGAAATCTGGGGCTTTGGCTAGCCACTGCCTTATGATATGCCAGAATTTAAGTAGGGAAATTCCCACCCAAGACTCTAAGAAAATGTCAAAATCAAAGATCAGGTAAAGCTATGAGTACAGTGAGAAAACAAAGTAAACATAAACCAGAGCAAGGGCCACAGAATTGGTAAATTAGAAGAAACAGGAGATGTGCAAAAAACTAAATGTGAGCATCAAGATATAAAAGCCAAGGGAATAAGTGCAGAAGCTAGCAGATCAAGAGCAAGTCTAAAAAATTAAAAAATAATACCTAAAAGAGGTTATCATAAGACTATCATAACAGAAAATATATTTACTATTCAATGAGTGGAATTGGATCACCATAAAGGTCTTAATCCTCATCCTTTTCATTCTAAGTAGGCTGAGGAGGAGGAGGGAGAAGAGGGGTTG
The DNA here is from genome assembly GCF_000001405.40 of Homo sapiens. NCBI lineage: Eukaryota > Metazoa > Chordata > Mammalia > Primates > Hominidae > Homo > Homo sapiens. The sequence continues at coordinate 26,846,669 of NC_000005.10, forward strand.
GTCTTGCTGTCTTAGAGGTGGCAGAGGCAGAAGAAAATCCACTTATGAGTGGGCCCTCGCAGTTCAAACATGTGTTGTTCACGGGGCAGCTATAGACGTAATACACAGAAATACATTGAGTACAACATTACCTAATTCAAAGTGCTCCAAGAGTGTACATTAAAAACATACAAACACAAAACCTCTAAAACTGTTAGGTAAAGAACCATTAGCTAGTCAAAAGAGAAGTTAAAATCTTCATCGATTGTGGGGGATCAGTCAGAGTGGTGGGAAAAAGTATAGGAAAGGACGCAAACCTTCTGCAAGGTCGGAAGGTTCTTCAGAGCCCCGGGGGAGAATAGCTAAAGGCAGCTGTTACAATATTTCTATATATACTGTTGCTGTTGAGCTGATAACTGTTTTCCCATGATGAAATCCTAACTTTAAAATCCCCTAGAACTTGGAAATCCCCTGCAGGCACAAATTACTTACTGCACAGTCACTTCACTTTCGTTTACTAGGATTCCCTCGCGATCCGCAGCAGAGTTCCTCACACTGCGCACCACCCGCGGGGTCTGTCCCACAGACCTTGGCTGATGGATGAAATGAGTACTCAAAGACACAGGTATGCAGCGTAAGAGCAGCTAGGTGACTGCCCCGCTCTAGTGGCCAGAGAGCAGCCCTGAGAAGCTGGAGCGGCTTGCTTTCATTCAGTGCAGGCACAGTGCCAAAAACCTGGAGCCAACACAACCTGTAGGTAATTAACCTTTATTGTTCCCTTTCAGGGAATGTCATGCGTGCTGATGACCAAAAGTCAGTTCCGGGTCAAGATAAGTAAACAAGCCTGTTTAAGATAAATTCCTCCACACTGTTTTGTACCTACCCCTTGCCCTCTGCCTCAGGGTTGTAGAACAACCACCTACAGCTATTCTACCCTGGGGCTCTGCAGAACCTTCTGACCATTCAGAAGGTTTGCATCCTTTCCCTATAGTTTTTCCCACCACTCTGACCGATCCCCTACAATTGATTTTTCTGAATGAGTATCCGTGATTCATTATTAGCAGGAAAAATGTATGTTAGAGGATAATTTTATTCCATGATGTGTGCTCTGACTTTCTGGCACATATGTGTCTGAATATTTATCTTCCTGCTTGTAAATGTGTGTGTGTGTGTGTGTATATATATACACATATATATGAATATAAACGTGATTTTATCTTACTTGCAGATGTAGAAGTTAATTTCTAAATTGATCAAATGCATAGAAAGATGAAACATGCTCTAGTTTGAAATAGACACGGTTTTGATTTTTGCTGGTCTTCACTTCCCTGCAGAGAATTTTTTAAATAGTTTCTAAGGAAGATAATAATGCAGTATCCCTGAGTGACTGTCTCATCTTGAGACAGCACAAATTATAGTTTCTAAATCATAATGAATTCGAATTAAATTTTGGCACAGTAATGAGGTTACACCATTTCATGCTTTGTCCTTGCTTCAGTCTTTGTTTTGAAAAGAAAGTGTAAGATTGTTAACAGCTGATATTGTCAAAGCAGATAATGGTAATACAGACATCTTTTCTGAGAGATTTTGACAGAATGCATACCATGGAAACAATCTCTCAGCAACAAAATTGTTCAAATTGGGAAATAATGCCCAGGTCTACTTATCCTTTTTACTTACACTTTTGTGATTTTCTTTAAGCTACTCTAATTTCCCTGTTAAGAAAACTCCAAGGATAAAAATATAGACTGCATTAATACTGTTTCTATTTGAATTAGAAAATCAAAGCAGAGAATCATGGCTTGAAGCTTCCCTTAGATATAATCAAAAGTAGCACATTCATTTTAAATAGGAGAAAACCAAGATTCAGGATGCCAATGTGCATTGCCCAGGGCCATTTAGCTACTGACTGGCAGAGACTCCAGGGAAATAGAATTATCCTTGTTCTTTGTCAGGGGCTATCTTACTTAACTGGTAACAAATGTAGAACATAAATGGAAGAACTCATCGGCATTATTAGGAATGAAATATACTTTACACAACATTTATTTATTTATTTATTTATTTATTTATGAGATGGAGTCTCACTCTGACGCCCAGGCTGGAGTGCAGTGGTGCGATCTCTACTCACTGCAAACTCCACCTCCAGGTTCAAGTGATTTTCCTGCTTCAGCCTCCTGAGTAGTTGGGATTACAGGCACACACCACCATGTCCAGCTTATTTATTGTATTTTTAGTAGAGACAGGGTTTCACCATGTTGGCCAGGCTGTTCTCAAACTCCTGACCTCAGGTGATTCACCCACTTCAGCCTCCCAAAGTGCTGGGATTACAGGTGTGAGCCACTGTGCCCCAGCCTAGTTTTAAGAAAAATTTGATCATAGAAAATACTTTCTTTATATTCCTTTCTATTAATATTATGTGTGAAACTCATATTGATTAAGAGTATATAGAATTTAAACATTATAGTAAATAATGTTTCATTAAATAAGCCCTCAATGAAAAGCCCTCATTAAATATCACACAATATATTTTCTTATTTTAAGACCATCCAGAAAATGATTACATATAAGAAATTGCTTACAATTGTAAAAGAGTCTTATTTCAAATTATACCATGAAAACCAAAGACTTTGAATAATGATATTTTATTTGTAAAAATTTAAAGGGTACAAGTGCAATTTTTTTAGATAGTTATATTCTATAGTGGTGAAGACCGGGGTTTTAGTGTATCCATCACTCAAATAATGTACATTGTACCCATTAAGTGATTTCTCATTTTCTACTGCCCTCTCATACCCTTACCTTTCCAAGTATTCACTATCTAATTTTTCATTCTCTATGTCCATGTGTACACATGAATAATGATTTATGAATAATTATTCAAAATATAAATGCTTCCTCTATTCTATAAGTAGATATATCATCCACATAAATGTATTTGATTTTAATTTATTTCATTTTGTTTACATAGCATGTATTTTCTTATATGAGCAGCTGCAATCTGTTTAAAGATAAAAAAAATCCAGAATGCTCCTTTAGTTGTGCAATTCTGAACAATTAGTTCCAGTGTTGCCTCTGGCACTTTGGATGTAAAAATATAAAGAAAGACAGCAAAAGAAAATATGCTTTAGTTAGTTTAAAACCAGAATGCTTCCATACATTTATAATAGCCATGTCTTTGGGAAATTATAATATAGTCTATCAAGTCAACACATTAGTATTGCAGCCAATACATTCGTATTTCCATGTGCTTTTGCTTAGTCATTCTTTCAACAAGTGTTTAATGAAGACATTTTATGTGCTAGGTTCTATGCACATTGGTGGAATGATGGTGAACAAAACCACACAAGATTGTTAACAACCCAAAGCTTCATTCTAATGAAATAGACATTAACCAATCAAATAATCACAAAAACATGCAAGTACATATAAAAATGTCATAGCTCTGATGAAACAGTACATGATGTAGCCTTGAAAGGGTGCAAGAGGAGGACTTTATCCTTTCAAACAGGTCAAGGAAATCTCCCCGGAAAATGTGAAATTTAACTTAATATTAGAAGATTACAATTTAACAAAGTAGAAGGATGTGTGAGGAGGCAAAGTGAATAATGTCCCAGGATATGGAGATAATGAAAGTAATTTTGGACGGAAATGTCACGTTTGCGGTAAAAGGACAGAATAACTGATGTCTGGAGAGAATGGGAAGGGCATTGTAAGGCAAAGCTGGAGAGGCCTATGAGGGCAGACCTTCTATGTTCTGTTGATTAGCTTAAGGGAAATGGGACTCTAGATCTCTTATTTTATATTAATCAAGACAATAAAAATATTAAATAATTTCCCCAAAAATGTAAAAAAAAAAGAAATGGGAATACATTGATTTGTGTTTTTAATTTTATTTTTAAACATACAGAGTAACATAAATAGGAGCTGAACTTCGTAAAAATATTGCTGAATGCAGAATAAATAAAACGGTTTGAAGGGGGCCAAAGTTAATTATGTGTCTAGATCTTAGAGTGAAAATGTAGTCTTGCTTGCGAAAATAGACGATTTTAAACAAAATTTAAGAGAAAAATAATTGACAGGACGTGATGAGGGATTGGATCATGAAGACTGCAGGGATGTGATAGCATGGTTTCCTGCTTGTATAATTGGGTGGAATCAGTTGTTATTCACTGGGACAGGCAATGCCAGAAAATAACCACTTATGAGGGTGGAAATATCATAAGTTCATTTGGTTTTATTTGGGCTAATCTACCCTATAGTCTGCCAGGAGTGATTCAAGTAGCCATCTTTGTTATAGATCTGGAGCTGAGTAATTTTTTTTTTTTTTTTTTTTTTTGAGACGGAGTCTCGCTCTGTCGCCCAGGCTGGAGTGCAGTGGCGCCATCTCAGCTCACTGCAAGCTCCGCCTCCCAGGTTCATGCCATTCTCCTGCCTCAGCCTCCCGAGTAGCTGGGACTACAGGCGCCTGCCACCGTGCCCGGCTAATTTTTTGTATTTTTAGTAGAGACGGGGTTTCACCGTGTTAGCCAGAATGGTCTCGATCTCCTGATCTTGTGATTTGCCCGCCTTGGCCTCCCAAAGTGCTGAGATTACAGGCGTGAGCCACTGTGCCCGGCCAAGAGTATTTTAAATGAAAGAGTTATATATGGAAGCTGTTCTGACTAGAGGTAACTGTTTTGTAAGAAGTAACTTTGTCTGACAATGTAGAACTGTCATTAAAATCATGTTCATCTAAAGCTAATTTAATGCAATCACATCCTAAAATCCACTCACAAATATGACTTTTATGCAAATAAGTAAAACCTTCTTTATTCTGAAATTAGTGCTGATCTTCAATTTACTACTTACGGACATACTGAAATTTGAACTACAGTCTAATTGCAACAAATAGCATTATCTGAATAGCAATTTTTCTTTATATATGGATTCAAATATATGCCAAAATAGAGTTCATCACCCAAGACAAGTACATTTGACTGATTTGCCTGAGTAGTGAAGACACTGGTATCAAAAGCACTAAAATGTATTTTAATTACTCTCGATGGATTGTTGAAGACATTGTTGCTTATATTCTAGATTTCTGAAACTATCAGTAGTGTAATTTGGGATGTTTCTTAGTTATCGTGCTGTGGGAATCACCTTATATGTGAACCTTATGAAAAAGGCTTCAAATGTTATCTCTTAACTAAGGCTTCATCATTATATATGGTATCGTTTGTTCTTTCAATTTAACATGTAGAAAGAGATTATATGATAAGCACCAGGCATACCACGAATAATAAGACAAAAGTTCTTACCTTTGAGTCACTTACAGTCACTCAGAGTGAGACTATAAATTTGAAGTGCTAGAAAGTGTTATGGGAGGAACACAGGATTCAGGGTCAAGTAATAACCCAGAGGAAAGGGTGGTCAATTTTACTTGGAGGTGAAGCTTAAAGTCTTGAAAGAGTAAAAAGGAAAGTGTTCTTTCTTCAGATAGGATTAAGATTAAGTACAGTTGATGGCAGAGATGCATTTTCTTAGAGACCTATGTCACATCTTCTCCTCTTTTCTAAATCACCTACAACTTTCTTTTACTGCCTTATTCCAAAATAGCTTTCTTCACTAAGAAAATGGAAAGAATGAGAGGAAAATTTCTACCATCAAGTCTATTAAATCTCACTGAATCCATGTTCTTTGTCTTCCTTTCCACCACAATGAATACACTGTTTGCTTTCTTATTTAAGGCAAAAATATCCACTGGTACGCTGTATCCCTTCCCTTTTCCACCATCACTTCATGAACTGTCCTGTCTTCTCCCTTCCTCCCTTCCATCCTTCCTGACTTCCTTCCTTCCTCCCTTCCTATGAAGCTGGCTGGGCTTCTGGGACGGATGGGGACTTGGAGAACTTTTCTGTCTAGCTAAAGGACTGTAAACACACCAATCAGCGCTCTGTGTCTAGCTAAAGGTTTGTCAATGCACCGATCAGCACTCTGTAAAAACGGACCAGTCAGCATTCTGTAAAATGGACCAATCAGCACTCTGTCAAATGGACCAATCAGCAGGACATGGGTGGGGCCAAATAAGGGAATAAAAGCTGGCCACCCGAGCCAGCCTCGACAACCTGCTGGGGTCCCCTTCCATGCTGTGGAAGCTTTATTCTTTCGCTCTTCACAATAAATCTTACTGCTGCTCACTCTTTGGGTCTCCGCTACCTTTATGAACTGTAACACTCACTGCGAAGGTTACGGCTTCACTCGTAAAGACAGCGAGACCAAGAACCCACCAGAAGGAAGAAACTCCGCACACATCTGAATATCTGAAGGAACAAACTCTGGACACACCATCTTTAAGAACTGTAACACTCACTGTGAGGGTCCGCAGCTTCATTGTTGAAGTCAGCGAGCCCAAGAACCCACCGGAAGGAATAAATTCTGGACTCCCTCCCTCCCTTTCTTCCTTCCTTCCTTCCGTTTTTTTTTTTTTTTTTTTTTTGACGGAGTCTCACCCTGTCACCCAGGCTGCAGTGCAATGGCATGATCTCGGCTCACTGCAACCTCTGCCTCACAGATTCAAGGGATTCTCCTGCCTCAGCCTTCTGAGTAGCTGAGATTACAGGCATGAGCTACCATGCCCAGATAAGTTTTGTATTTTTAGTAGAGACGGGGGTTTCATCATTTTCTCCAGGCTGGTCTCGAAATCCTGACCTTGTGATCTGGCCACCTCGGCCTCCCAAATTGCTGGAATTACAGGCATGAGCCACTGTGCCCAGATGACTGTCCAGTCTATTTGCCCTACCAGTCCGTTTTCTATTGAGTCATTTGCATCAACATAAACACTGGTTTTAGTATTTCCCACCTTCAAGAACTCTTTTTAGATTCCAAACTCCTACCAATTAGTATAAACTTCATTAGCTCCTCACATAGAAGAAATAATTTTAATAAGTGCTGGTTTCCTTCTCTCTTTGTCCTTTGCGCACACTTCAGTAGTGATTAAATTCCCACTACTCCATTGACACAACTCGTGTCAGAATTACTAATGGGTTCCAGATGACAAATCCAATGGAAAGCGTAAGACCTCCTCGTCTGTCTCAAGCATCAGTAGCGTTTGACAAAAATAATTATCTGATTAAGTCTCTTGAATTTTAAAATAATTTATATATTGATGAGATTCAAATTTATGTCTCAAGTATAGATCTTACTCCTTAACTCCAGAAAAGTACTTTCTCAATTACACTTCAAACCTAATGTGAACAAAAAAACTGTTTGTAAACCCCTATCAAAACTAAACCTTCTGCAGTACACCAACCTCAGTGAAAAGACATTTCTATTATTTCACTTGCTCAGAACAAATCTAAGGAATCATCTTTGAAACTTCATCATATCTCATATTCAATACACATTGAAAATACCATTGTTTGTTCCACTAAAATTTATCCCTCTTTTTTTTTTTTTTTTTTTTTTTTTTTTTACTGCTACTCACCGTTTCCACTGCAGCCATCCGTGTCTGTGACACCAAGTTTGGTTCTTTATAAACATGTCACATCATATCATCCAAGTGTGTTTAGAAGAATGCAAACGTTAAACTGACTCCAGAATATAGTTAGGATGTGTTTGTGTTTTAGTCATTTTGGAAGGCATAACAGAATACCATAAACTAGATAGTTTAAACAATATATTTTTTTTTTCTCACGAGTTCTGGTTGCTGGGAATTCCAAGACAAAAGTGCTGGTAGATCTGCTGTCTGGTGAAGGCAATCTTCTGATTTGCAGCTGGCCATTATCTTGCGTTGTCCTCACATCATGGCTCTGTGTGTGTGTGTGTGTGTGTGTGTGTGTGTGTGTCACTCCACTTTGCATAGCTATAAAAATACCTGAGCCTGGGCTGTGTATAAAGAAAATAGATTTATTTTGCTTATGGTTCTGACAACTGTACAAGAAATATGGTGCCAGCATCTCCTGCTGGTGAAGCCTCAGGAAGTATATAATCATGGCAGAAAGCAAAGGCGGAGCAGGCATGCTTTTAACATCTAAGATTCAATGGCAGTAAAAGCATTGTGTAGAAATTCCCATTCCATACTACTCAGTCATAAAAAATAATGAAATAATGTCTTTTGCAGCAAGGGATGGATTTGGAGGCCATAATTCTAAGTGAAATAACTCAGGAATAAAACTGAATACTATATGTTTTCACCTACAAGCTATGGGTAGGCAACGGCATACATACAAAGTGGCATAATGTACATTGGAAACTCAGAAGTAGGGAGGATTGTGGGGGATTAGGGAAAAAAAAAAACTACATATTGGGTACCACATATACTACTTGGGTGACAGGTGCACTAAAATCTCAGACTTTACCACTATACAATTCATCCATGTTACCAAAGTCCACTTGACCTTCAAAACTATTGTAATAAAAATATATATCAAAAAAGGAAAATAAAATAATGATGATGAAAAAAGAGAAATTACATTTTCAAAAGGTAGAAATTGGCCTAAAGAAAGGGACAACAGACCCCATGCAAGTCTAAAACTCAGCAGGGCAGACATTACATATTAAAGCTCCAAAATAATCTCCCTTGACTGCATGCCCCACATGCTGGTGTAACGAGTAGGCTTCCAAAGAATTGGGCAGCCCCATTGTTATGGCTTTGCTGAGTATAGCTCATGTGACTGCTCTCATGGTTTGGGTTTGAATGCCTATGGCTTTTTCAGGCTGAAGGAGCACACTGATGGTGTTTCTACTATTCTGGGGTCTGGAGGTAGGTGGTCCCCTTCCCATAGCTCCACTAGGCAATGCCCTGCTGGGGACTTTGTATGAGGGCTCCAACTCCACATTTCCCCTTGGCATTGATATAGCAGAGTATCTCTGTGGGGGCTCCCCTGCCTAAGCACCCAGGCTTTCCCATACATCCTCTGAAATCTAGCTGAGAGCTGCAAAGCCTCCTTTATTCTTGCATTCTGTGTGCCTGCAGGATCTATACTACATGGAAACTGTCAAGACTTATGCCCTCCAAAACAGTGACCTGAGTTATACCTAGGGCCCTTTGAGCTAAGGGTGGAGGCAGAGTGGTGGGTGGGATGCGGGAAGCAGTGTTCTGAGGCAACACAGGGCAGTGGCACCCCAGGCCTGGCACCTGAAGCCAGTCTGTTCTTTTAGGCCTCTGGGCCTCTGATGAGAGGGATGGCCTCAAATATTCCTAAAATAACTTTGAGTCCTTTTTCTCATTGTCTTGAATATTAGCACTTGGCTGCCTTTTAGTTAAGCTAATCTCTTTAGAAAGTAGTGGCTCCATAGGCTGTTTGGATTCTTCTCCTGAAAATGCTCTTTCCTTCTCAACCACATGGCCAGCCTGTAAATTTTCCAAATTTTTATGCTTTGCTTTTCTTTCAATTACAAGTTTCAATTTTAAGTCATTTTTTGCTCCCATATCTGTTCATAGACTGCCAGACCATTTTTTATCACTTTGCTGCTTAGAATTTTCTTCCACTAGATACTCCAAGTCATCACTGTTAAGTTCAGTCTTCCAAGAAGTCATCAAGTATGTACATAATACAGCCAAGTTCTTTACTAAGGTGTAACAGGGTGACCTTTACTCTATTTCCAAAAAAAAAAAAAAAATTCCTTATTTCTATCTGAGACTTCACCATCCTGGACTTCATTATGAATATATATATCAGCATTTTTGTTACAATTACTTAACCATTCTCTAAGAAGTTACAACTTTCCTTTATCTTTCTGCTTTCTTCTGAGCCATCCAAACTTCTCCAACCTCTGTCCATTAGCTAGGTCCATAGCAACTTCCACAATTTTAGGCACCCCACTCCTGGTACCAACTGCTTGTATTTGTATTAGTCTGGTTTGCATTGCTATAAAGAAACACCTGAGATGGGATAATTTACAAAGAAAACAAGTTTATTTTGCTTATGATTCTGACAACTGTACAAGAAGCATGTTGCCCACATCTGTTTCTGATGAGGCCTCAGGGAGCTTACAATCATGGAAGAAGGCAAACAGGGAGCAGGTGTGTCAGATGGTAAATGAGGGATCAACAGAGGGGGAGAAAGTGCCAAGCTCTTTTTAACAATCAGATCTTATGTAAACAAATAGAGGGAGAACTCCCTTATTACCATGGGGAGGGCAGGAAGCGAGTCCTAAGAAATCTGTTGCTGTAATCCAAACACTTCCCACTATGCCCCTCCTCCAACATTGGTGGGCTCAAATTCCAACATGAAACTAAGAAGGGCAAATATGTAAACTAGATCTCTCTTGCTCTCTCTCTGTCTTTCTCTCTCTCTCACTCTCTGTGTGTATGTGTGTGTGTGTGAAAGAGAGAGAGAGAACATAGGACATGCAGGTTCTTTCCTTTCTTTCCTTATTCCATTATGGGCCCTTATTCGATTATGAGGGCTAAACTTTAATGACATAATTACCTCTCAAAGATCCCATCTCCAACTTCAAGTTCCATTACATTGGAGATCAGGCTTTAATATATGAATCGTGCGGGGATATAAGCATTCCATCTATAGCAGTTTGTATAGGAAAAAAAAATGGCTAATTATTGTTTTTCCCCTAGTGAACTATTGCAATTTCTTTACATTCTTCTGTAAAATCTCAAGGTTCTATTTTATTCAATATTTTCTGATATAAATAAATAATTATATGAGCTTATCATGTGTTTGGCATCACATCAAGTAATAGGTATACAAAATGAATGAAAAAGACAAGATATAATTGACTACAGAGAACAACATCATTTAATTTCTACATAGAAAAACAAGTGCTATGATTGGAGGGCATAGTTTTAAACTATACTTAACAGAGGAATTCCAGATGCTCTTTATTCTAGACTCTGCAGATTTAATCATCAGGTAAACTAAATACTTGTCTAAGCACCAACAAGGCAAGGATATCAGCTAAACAAATAAATCTATTAAATTCTTATATTCCTAAAAATGTCTCCAGGAACTTTTAAAACTGCCTCTGTTCCCTTGCTTCTTCAAGTGTTACAAAGCACAAAAGTCTTTAACCACATTTTTCCAAGAATAATTCTGCCTCCTTAATTGTATTAGCATATATGCAGTACTAGAGCCTTTTGTTTAATGCTTATGACTACATTTACCTAAAAACAGAAAAGAGCGTTATTGAATTCTGATGGGTAGAGCCATATGCCATTTCAAACCTAAAATTCTGCTGTACCAACCAATTAAATTTATATGTGGTAGACCATAAAAAGTTAGAAGCAAACGTGTTATTTTTCCAGTTCCTACTTACCCCTACTCTAATGGCTTATTTGACCTTGCCAGGGGCTTTAATTGGGACTTCAGAGTGAGATAACCAGGAGCTTCATAGGCAGAGGAGGAACTTTTTTTTTTTTTTTTTTTTTTGCTGAGGTTGTGGTTATCCTTCTTGTATTTTGTCAAAGAACATTTTTAAATTCAAATATAGAATCCTGGAACAAATATGTAATGTTCCTACGGTGCAAAAAGGGGTAAAATAATGATGACCCAAAAGTAAAGTTAAAAAGAGATCATGCTACACAATGGAGAGTCTATTTTGCATTGATGTTAGTAATACAAGAAGTGAGGTGGAAGTAGAAGAAAAGAGAGACTGACATGGCAGAAATAGAATCTTCAAAGAGCAGAAAAGAAAAAAAAAATGTGGGGGAAAAGAGAGCAAAGGATATAGAGAACTTATATAAATTTTCTCAGTGAGTACAACAAAGTTTTAATAGAATTAGTAATTCTTACACATTGGTTTGTTTCAGAGGGAGGCATTGCAGAGAGACCCCTTTCAAAGCACACAGGAAGTGGCTGAAGTCAATAAAGAAACAGAAGAACAATTTGAATGAAGATGGATCAAAAAGAAGACAGACATTTCTAAAAAGCCATCTTTAAATATACCATTTTACAAGCTCCCTAGTAAATATCTTGAGACAAAATTGGATGACTACACATTTAGCATGTTATCATGATGCTTTGAAAATATGTATGTGTACATATATATGTAATATTTATACACAAAATGTATAACATAATATTTCATATGATAATAAATATAAATGTAAATATAAATTTGACTTAAGAAGGGAGTATATGTTGATAGCGTTGAAGTAAGCTTAGATGATCACCTTAAATGTTGTTACTGTCTTTGTTGCCATAGAATAAACACTTAAAGAGAAATAACAACTTTGTTTTCAGTTTGGAGCATATTTTTGGCCCTGGGATTATTGATTAGAGAGATTAATATGTATTTTCCTTATTTCATCTGTAAAATTTAAGTTATTTTTAAACAGTTATTTTATTTACACATAATGTCAGGCTGGCACCTGGAACAATAAATGTTGAGTTTTATTGTAAACTTGATCCAAGTATTTGAAACTCAATAATTTTTACAGTGCTAATTGATATATTACATGGTTCTAAGAATTAGAAGAAGGAAATAATAATTTAAGATGATATCAAATTAAATATTACAAATTCCCACTATTCCCTTTCTGGGGTAATTGAATAGTTGCTGAGTTTATATAAAAAAAGTTGAATTTAGATGAGGTTGGAAATTATGCTATTAAGTTGACCTTATGTAGAACTAATGCACACTTTAGGGGAAAATTTTCTTTCAGTTGGACTTGAAGAAATCCTTTAATTTCTTAAATTATCCATTTGGAACATTTACTTAAATAAATAGTCATAAAATTCTGTGAACTTTAAATTCTGTGAACCAAAGGCTCCTACCTTTGGTCCCCATTATCTTCCACTCTGAAATGTAATGTGTAATCATTTCACCATGAGCCTCTGATAAACTCACCACATGGGAAAAGAGTAAATGTTTTCCAATCATATCTACAAAAAATATGACTATGGCTTTTGGTGGTCAGAAGTAAGCATACATCTCTTAGGTGTTGGAAAATAAGCTTGTCCTTGCCATAACCTATAGGTATATATTTTTTCCTGCTAACATGGTTTCACAGCAGAACCGAAAGTCAGTTCACAATCATACACATGCCGTTCAGCTTTAAGTTTTAAGACTTGAGATAATTGTGTTTGATGGTTATATGTCTAGAGAGAGAACAAACTGAGTGGACATAATCAATCTTTTTATTCTGAGAATGTCATAACAATCGCTAACACTTGAGAAATATGTGATAAAGCCTATGCTCTCTTATGTGGCTTATATGAAATGCTAAATTCAATGGCATTTAAATATGGCCAAAGAAAGTTATAGTTTTAAATGTTTTAAATGAATCACTAGGTTAAACAATTGGTTATGTGACAGTTTACAGCACCAAAATCAGGTGCTGTAAGATGCTATTCTGAGAATTTTTATTGAATATGCAGATAATGCTTCCTAAATTTAACCACAGAATATTTTTTTCTTAATGCAACTTGCAAGATGGATACTCCTTGAAATATAATTTGAGAAATTCTAGTCAGCTGTTTCAAACTTAATTATTTTCCTCAAATTTTCCATTTCTAGCACTCCTCAGTTAGCAGTAAACCACATTTCATTAAATAGAAACTCACTAAAATTTTTATCAGAATTTCAGCAAAATTGTTTGTACTTGCATCAGTTTGTTTCACTCATCTCCTACTTGAAAAAATGCCTCAAACTATACAGTGAGTTCCATTGACTCTTGTCTTCTTGGAATTCTCTTCCATCTCAGTTCTTTCTACGTCTTCAGTTTCTCCAATCTTACTTATTGTCCTCATTATCACTTAAACATAATTTTCTCTTTTGAAGTTCTATAGAAAGGCATTATGATATGACTCATGCTGCATCTCAAACTGCAGGGTCATCCCCAAAGACAAATTGTCAGAATTGTTGCCCTAGAAACTCTGATGCGACTCTAGAATCTTTCCGTCAGAGATCTCTGACCAAAACTAAAATATTAAGATTTCAAAAGTGACTTAATAGCATGGATTTTTGCAGAAATATTTGGAGTGCTCTATTTTGAAATTATCAGACATTTTTCTTGCAAAAAGAAAGAAATGGAAGATGCTATTTAGAGAGAGAGACTGAAGTCATTGAAGTTTGGGAGAAACACTTGTCCGGGTTTGTCAGAGAATAGCTATTATTCTGGCTACTAATTCAGAAAAATCATTTATCCTTCTTCCTGAAACTATATCTAGATTATAGTTTCCATCTTCCCTTACATGTGGTTATGTGTTTGCATTTTGGCCACCTTAATGTGGAAGGGAATTAGGTATAACACTTCCAGCCTATTCAAAAAAGCCCCATACTAAACTCTATTTTTCTCTCCCTCTCACTCTTTAATTATCTCTCTATCTTGTTCTCTCCTTATTTCTATTTCAATCTCCATCTCTCTCTCTCTCTTTTGCTTACAAGCCAAATGCAAAGGATGTTGTAATTACAAGATTGAAGGGATCAGTTGAGTTCTTGAGTTGCTGTGCAGAAAATCACTTTCAGTAAAAATACACAGAACCGTTAAATGAGCACAAAATAAACCTCACTTATCTTGAATTACATCAATGAGACTTGAAGGTTGTTTCTCTCTTATTTATTAGTGAGGAATAACTTTTGCTTATGATATTTAGATGGCATATGAGTTATACTGATGAGATTCTTTGAAAGTGCTGTGATATAGGAAGAATCTGCTATATTTAGGAAGGAAATCCTTAATCAGAAAGTTTCAAGATAATGTATGTGTTTGTTTACATGTACAAGATGCAGACTACACGGAACGAAGAGCTGAGTTATTTTACAGCACTACATTTCAGGTGCCAACTTTCTTATCTCCTCTTTCTTTGTTAATTTTTTTGTGATCCACACCTGGGAAGGTCAAGAATATTAGTTAGCAGGTGAGGAAGAAAATGATCAAAAGATTTGATGGACTAACCTCTATAGCAAATGATTAATCCACAGAAGACTCTGGCTGGAGTAGCTGAGGGTATTAGACCATAAAACAAGTTCTGAGTTTTGATGTGTGTACTATCTATTGTTTCTGCTCTTACTATGTTTTTGGCCTCAAAATTTAAGAGCAAAGTCAAGTGAATATCAGTAGTGCTTATCTTCAGATCCTTGAGTCTCTTTTTATATAATGATGAAAATTTACATAAATAGTTCACTTAATACTTATGATTAAAAATACCCCTGGTTTTTTAAAATACGCACAACCAAGATCTGGCTGTGGGAATCAATAATTAAACTCTGCCCTTTTTCTAGCTTTTTGGGTTTGATAAATGATCTGAGTCTGGATCAAAATCAGAATTGAATGAATATCATGTCATTTTCACAGATGCAGCACATATTACAAGAGAAAATAGGAATGTCCTATGAAGAATTCAATAGAGAAACTGGTCTATATTCTGATATTAGAATAAATAAACAGGCTGGGAGATAGCAGATTGAGTAGGAGATTAGGTGTCTTGGCTAGATTTCTGTATAGAATTTGCCAAGTATGAGGCATTTCACTTAATGGCATGAGGATCCTAAGGACTAAATTTGGTAGATGTTCCCAAATCTAAAATTGTTTCTATTCTATATGTGGAGGATGGCTAATGGATAACCTAGATTCAATATTTTTGAGTATTTGGAGGATTGCTAATGGATAAGCTAGATTCCATTTTTTTCTTCCAAAACAGTATCTTTGATACTGT
Organism: Homo sapiens; assembly: GCF_000001405.40. Taxonomy (NCBI): domain Eukaryota; kingdom Metazoa; phylum Chordata; class Mammalia; order Primates; family Hominidae; genus Homo; species Homo sapiens. The sequence goes on from NC_000005.10 coordinate 26,862,247, forward strand.
TAGTTATATCTTTTTCTAATTAGAAGACTTGATCTGAATTATTTCATAATAATTTTGGGAGGGTTTATGATAAAATTAGTCTCTAATAGAAAGATCCAAAAATAACTTAGTTACTTAAAAATGATATAAATTTCATTTTCTTTTATGTATTAACTCAGTGTCCATCTCAGTTTTTTCCAATGACTGACAGCTGAAAACTCTGTTCTGTATGGTCTTCAGCTTCACTATTCTCCTTGAGATTTGAGGCCTGTTTATTTTTCCATTATATACTAATATATTTAACTCCCTCAGGCACTATTTTCATCTTTAGACTCCATGATATAATGAATCCTTAAGCAAGCAAATTTTGGGATTGAATAAAATCTGCAGTTTGGAAGCTAGACTGGTCTTCTGATAGAATATTCCTGAATTATAATATAGTGATTATATCTGCAGAAGTTGGAGGCAGATTGTCTAGGGAAAATAACCAGCTTTGTTATTTATTAACTGTGAGAAGTTATTTAATCTCTCTGTCCCTGTTTGCTCATCTCAAAAAATGTCTCTAATAATAACATCAACCTCATTGGTAGATTAAATCAATTAATAAATTTAAGGAACATAGAATAGTGGCAAAGCCATTGTAAATGCTCAGTAAGTAGTATTGAATATTATCCACTATAATAATAAGTACCTTTAGGGAAGGTGAAGAATGAGGTAGATTGTTATTCTCTTTCTGCCTCTTTTTATTGTTTTATTTCCACTCCCCGAAGTACCTGGCATATATTAGACACTGAAATATTTGTTGAGTTAATCAATTTCAAGTATTCCAAAATATTCTTTCATTATATAACTATTCATTAATACAAAGAATCCAGAAATCAAAGCTCATTTAATGTAATTGATATAGCTTAACATTTGTGAGCTAAAATATCCATATCATGATGAGATTTTCTGAATTTGAATCCTTGACCTGCCCCTCTCTAAGTTTTATTTAACCTCCCTGAGCCTCATTTATCTTATCAAAAATGTAGGTTTAAAAATAGTACACCTCTCAAATGTATGATCAAGTAAGATTACATACCTAAAGTGCTTAGCTTCATGCTTGGAAAAATAATAAATGCATTATAGGTACTTTTATTAGTATATTATTGTTATTTAGCACTTAAATACTCATTAAAAGTGTATGGGTACTCTCTGCTGTCATTACATTAACATTCACTAGGCCTACTTTATGCCCTTGTTGTTTTGTCTTTCATTAACTTTTAAAATGCTTGTTTTCTCAGTAGATATGTTTCATACCATTTTATATTCCATCTGCTCTCACTGGTATATGACTGCAATGAATGCCAACTGGTGATTCATTCTAGTGATTTAGAGAAACAGTGTTCTTTAGATATAAAATCAAGAAAACCATTTTCTCCATGGTCAATTACTCATGTCTTTTTTCCTAAAAAGAGATATTATTTAACAGGGTTGCCATTCAGGAGCCTCTCAGAGACATGATCTTCTCCCAATATCTTCTTCATTTAAATGAAATATTTTTGCCATTGTGTCCCAGAATAGCAAACCTTCTCCAGGCATTGGTTCACTGATCCTATAAGCACAGTTGCTAAGAGAGATCTTCACAGATTTTTTTTCCCATTTATTGCCCTTTTGTTAATTGTCTCACTGATAAAGGACAAGAAGGTGAGCTTTGACTTTATCATTATTATTCATGATTCTTTGTAGTGGAGACAACTCCTTTGGAAAGACTGCTATCCCTCATTTAATTTTCTCTCTTCAGCATCACTTGGAACAATCTCTAACTTTTATTTGGTAAGATATTTCTAATATCCTCCACTCTTAAAACAAGGGTTATTCACCCTAAATATCTATTATTCAGATTATATATATATATATCTCAGTTTATATATATATCTCAGTTTACATATATATCTCAGTTTATGTATGTGCATATATATAGGTGTATATATATGATATATATCATATATATGACGTCATATATATGATCTATATCATATATATGACGTCATATATATGATATTAACTGACTCTGGAGCATAGGCATGTGCTATGACCTAAAGATAAATGAACAAGTAGGATTTGATTTCTACTCTCCCGGACCTAACACACTAGTGAGAGAGATGCTGAATTTAAATAAAATGAAGTTACAGAGCTGGTGCATTTAAAGCCAATATTGAACGGATCTAATGCATTAAATTCTGAAAAATGAAGGGAAATGTACACATCTTAGGATGTTAATTGAGCTGACTTTTGAAATTCTTGAATTTTCCTTATGTTATTGTTGGTCACTATATTTTAAAAGACAACCTATTACCAAGAAGTAGGAATCATTTATTTTAGACATATAGGTTTTTTCTTTCTCATATTTTCTACAGGAAGACTGCCAAGATGAATAAAGTACAAAACTCAACTAAATCATTAAAAAATCACATTTCATGAGGATTTATTAACTCTCAAATTTTAGGAAGCCAATTACCTTTACATTTTTTTACGCTTATTAATAGGAAAAAGTGATTGCCATATGTGCTAAGATCTAATACTTCCAAAATGACCCTTTTTGTCTTAAGTACAGCACTTTTTGAACTATGGAATAATTGCATAATTATAAAATTTGACCTACAAAATGTTTCATAACAATAGATGTCTGTACGTGTAAAAAAATTGTTTTTCTACATATGTTTGATTAATCAGAATGGTGTTACTATTAATAGAGAAATTTGTGATTCTATCCCAGACATTTAGAATTGAGAACAAATTAAATAAGAATTGAGAATAAATTAAATTTCCAAATTTCTTATGAAAATTGAAATCATATGGATTTATACAAACTGAGTATTTTGGTAATATTATCCTGCAAAAATAATTTGAAGTTGTTTTCACTTTAGATTATCCTTTGATTTATAACTTACATGACAACTTTATTTAAAATCTTTTGAGCAAATCACAGTCCTATAATATCATATTCAGGTTGTTTTATTGTCTACCTTGCATTAGAAGAACGTTTTCCAGAATTCGATCCTTTGGAAAGAGTTGACAAAAAATTTTTCAGCTTGTTCAGAATCCAAGTAGGAGACGGAACTCATGTATTTTAGGTCAATAGAATGATCAGCTGGCTGAACAGCTATTAGGTATGCATTAAACAAGTTTTAGTACAAAGCACTATGTTAGAGTTTGCTTCTGGGTTTTAAGGAAGAACTGTTACAGAATCCTCAGGGCACAAAGAGCATGGGGGTCTCTTCCTCTCTGAACAAGCATGTGCCCCTGGGCCCTGCTGGCTGAGCCTGCTCAGTGTTTGTGGAGAATAATAGGGAAGTCGTGCACGTATCTCTCTCGGGTTCTTTTTGACAATCTACTTTAATATAAGACCTTGAACTTCAGTGGTGCTTCTTAGTGCTATGTATTTTAGGTTGGTTAGCCTTATTTCAACAGCAATGATTCCACACAATCCTTTGAACACAATGCAAAGGATCAATCAAATCATACATTCTGGAGCCACAGTGTCTTTCTTTTAAATCCTCAATCTTCTTGCTTTTAGCTTTGTGGCCAAATACGTCTCTGTGTTTCTGTTTCCTCAACTGTGGAATAGAGATAAAAATGACAGCAACCTCAAAGTATTTTCAAATGAATAAATGTATATATAAACAAAAATACCCAACACAATGCCCAGTACCTAAGATCACACAGTAAACATTTTTATATGTATAGAGTGTGATGAAGTTGGATAGGACTTTCACCATGGGCTCCTAAAAGATCCCTACTGGCTCTTTTTTTTTTTTTTTTTTGGTTCTTTCTAGATCCATTTTCTATGTTTCTTTAATCTGCTCTGTTGATAAGCTACATGCTGCTGTCTCCTAAAATCTATAGACTGCGTCACTGGACTTTCTTGTCTTTAAGTTTCCCATAGGGTTTCACCAATGGGAAACGCCAGTAGATAAGAGAGCAAATGGGGAGAAAGGGCAATATATTGTTGTCTCTGCTTCCGCGAGTAAGGTATTAGGCTGATTCCTCTGCCGCAGATCCTGACTAAGGACCATACTCCAGTGTTGTTCTTGAAACACTGCTTCTCTCCTTATTTTTCGGGACTCTGGGGAAAGCCTTCTGTCACTGGTCCCTGGGTGCTTCACTGTTCTTTGTTGGTTCTCTTAATTCTGTAAACTCTTTCATATAGAATCTCTTTCTTCAGTTAAACACATTGAACATGTTGAATATGACATCTTTTTGTTTTGATGAATTAAATATGAGGGCAAAAATGTGTCATTAAAAACTTTTTTCAGACTCACTAAAATATCCCTAAAATGTCTCTGCTTTCCAATCCTGAGGCATCTTCCTTCATCTATTTGTACATGCTTAATATTATAAAGAAGCAAGGGGTTAACCATGAAATGTCAGAGGTTACAAAAATATAGTGTTCATGGAAAATGGGTATTTGGATCCTCTTCCTCAATGTGCAGGAGAGGAAATCATTCTTCTGCTATCTGTTGCTATATAAAAAGTCCCTCCAAAATGTAGTGGCACAAAACCAACCATTTCATTTGGATCACATTCCATGGATCGGCAATTTGTCCTAGGCTTTCATGGGTGGCCCTTCTCATATTGACTTAGATAATATTTTCTGGGCTTAATGATAGTTCTAGAGCATTAACTGTAATAGCTAAGAGTCTCTCTTTACATAAGTATGAATTCTTATCCTCCAGGAAGCTAGTCAGGCTTGTTCCCATGGTGGAGGAATGTTTCTTGGGGCAAGGGCAGAAGCTAAAGGTCCTCTTGAGGTTCAGAACTGGCACAGATTACTTCTTTCCTAGTCTATAGGGTTAATGCAAATTAGCTCAGATTCCCTCAAGGGATGAGGGAATAGACAACAGTTTTGGGTGGGAGAGGTTGTAGAGAATCTGTGTCCATTTTTTCAATCTACCCCAGTCCTAAATCCCAAAATCAGGTGAAGGATTGCTACAAAAAAAGCAAACATTATTCACAAAACCGTTGTGGGATATCTTTTAGAAAATGAAATTCAGCTTCTTTTCTCCACTTAACTAGACTTTGCTAAGCTCTCGAATAAGTGATTTGCACTATTGTTATAATCAGAGCAGAACAGAGCATAGTGAGAATCTTTTGGGGGGAAATCTGACATGTTTCCTATGAACATGATTTTGGAGGCAGTTTTCACTAATGTTTAGGTATTGAAAGCTTTGATACTTGTTGAAACCGCCCATGATGGTAAGAACAATGTGGAATAAGACTGCCCTTTTTTTTTTATACTTTAAGTTTTAGGGTACATGTGCACAATGTGCAGGTTTGTTACATATGTATACATGTGCCATGTTGGTGTGCTGCACCCATTAACTCGTCATTTATATTAGGTATATCTCCTAATGCTATCCCTCCCCCCTCCCCCCACGGCACAACAGGCTCCGTGTGTGATGTTCCCCTTCCCGTGTCCCAGTGTTCTCATTGTTCAGTTCCTACCTATGAGTGAGAACATGTGGTGTTTGGTTTTTTGTCCTTGCTATAGTTTGCTGCACTTTTAAAGAGGGAGGCTCTCTCCTGACTCCTTAATGCTACCCCTCACCACATTCTCCATGACTCTTAGAGGCCAAAGAAGAGTATCTTGGAATTTCTGTAGTTTCAGTAGTCCCCTGGGAAGGCTCTCAGAAGCATAGAGAGTTTACCTGAAGTAAAGGCACAAATGATCTCTAGAAAATGGGAGAACATTGATTTGTGAATATGAAGACAATTGGTCAAGTTAGTAAATGGTACTATACAAAACTGATTCAGTGCTTACTGAAGGAGATGATGTTTTCATAGACATTACTAGAATCTGATAGTATTTTTTAAATGTTATCTTTGTAAGTGTTGTCTTGAGTCTTTAAGTTTCTTCAGGAGTCCTATCAAAAATTTAATATTTAAAATAATGCTATTAACCCAAACATTTGACCGTCCTATGGGAATGGGTATATACATTTTGTCAGACATTGAACTTTAAAGGAGCCTGATTGCCACTTTGTTTACCTAATCTCCAACATACTGCTTGGCTCACACTGGAGTCTCAAACACCTTTAGAAGACAAACCCATTAAAACATTGTGTTCACATGAAAGGTCACAGTTTATTATAGAACAGATTTTAGCACAATGGTCTTCACAATAATTTTTGTAATGCTTACAAAGGTAAATAAGTGTTTATTTTTCCCTGAAACTACCTGTTAGACTCTAATCAGAAAACAATTAAGTTATATGATCTTGACATATTAACCTTAACTTAAAAACATAATTATATACAGACACTCCTTGAATTACAAAGAGGTTAACCTATGTGAGCTGACGATATTGCAAGAAACAACACATTGAACATCATAGCTTAGCTTAGCCTACCTTACATGTGCTCAGAACACTTATATTAGCCTAGACTGGGGCAAAGTTACCTGGCAACAACAGTACGCTGTAGTATATCTGTTGATCATGTGGCTGATCATGTGGCTGAGTGACAGCTACAGCTCACTGCTGCTGCCCAGAACAGTGAGAGAGAGGATCCCACTGCTCGCTACTAAATGTGTATGGCTTCTGCAACCATGGGAAAGTCAAAAAATTGTTAAGTTGAATCACTGCAAGAGGACTCTCTGTATATGTATGTTGAAATTATATATATAATATATAAATATGTATATTATATATATAAGATATATAGAATATATTATATATAAGATATATAGAATATATTCTATATATAAGATATATAGAATATATTATATATATAATATATAAATATGTATATTATATATATAAGATATATAGAATATATTATATATAAGATATATAGAATATATTCTATATATCTTATATATAATATATTATATATTTTATATATTATATATATATATTTCATTACCAATGGAAATGTTATAACTGTTCCAGGGAAGTAAGTGTCGATGAAGCTTCATCAGGATTTTGAGTACAGAATTCTTTTGGCCCCATGCAGTTGACAATCGCATTACACATATTTATATGTACCTATTCATCTTATTGGAAAAACAGTTTCAGAAGGAAAGATTTCTCTATTGGATAAGTATAGTACTAAGGAAACTAATCACTTAGAAAATTGGCACTTCAACAGCTCCAAAAGTGCAAATGGAAAAAAAAAACATAGTTTAAAGAAGATAAACAAGACAAACAAGGGAAGGTCAAGCATTTTGTTCTTACTACTTAATGTCCCCCAGTTACCTATTTTTAACTCCTGTCAATACGAATTGTTAGCCTTTGTATTCATAAAGTACATTTGGCTAGAAAGATGATAAATGCTATAAGAACACGTGAGAACTTTCATAAGAGCATATTCTTTTTTAAATCATTGTCATCTTGGTTCTCAGTGGGTTAGAATTCAACTCATTTCTATGGTTTTTTCTCTATCTGGGATTTAATTTTAAATTAAATTTTAATGAAGTAGTTTCCTTCTCCTCATAAATTGGAGAAAAATGAGAATGAACATTCTTCTTCTTTCCTCAGAACAGACTTCTGCTTCTACAGTACTTGAAAATACAACTACCCTAGAGATTTGTCGCATATATTTTAGCTTGGGGCTTTCCTTTATGATCACTTACATTTACTACTTTTCCTCTTCCTCTTGGACTCTTCAGAGAAATCTGTAAAATGAGCCTTTTCATCAAAGATGAGCAGAATTTCCACTTAATCTTAAATTAATATTTTAATCCCAATTCACAAATGTTGTTTTTGCTGCATATGCAGAAATTTATCAAAAATAGATGCCTAAAATTGTTAAGTACACATTTGTTTTTGTTCTGAAAGATTATTTTATTTGTAGGCTTCTGTTGCCTAGTGGCATTCATATTTATCCTTAAATGGAAGAAGAATATAGTATTTTGAGGGAAATAGAACACATTTTTAAACTACTGAAAAAAGCATATCATGCTAATTAATTAATTTGTTATACGTAAGCCAATAGCAAGCAGTTTAGTTCTATTAGTTTCAATTGAATTAGAGCAGATTTTAACATAAAAATGTTTAGAAATTCCAATCACTCTTACAGTTACCATAGATTTATATTTAAATATCTTTTAGCATTTGTCCTAAATTACTTGTTATTCAGTGAGCAAAGCTAATGGTTATTGCATTGGAGATTTAATAAATAAAAGTTGAGAATATTTAATAAAATTTCATGATAATAAGCATGAGAGTACATTAATAATGAAAAAATGCAGAATGAGATTTTTCATCATAGCTGGAAGGTTAAGGAATTAATTTTACAGACTATGAAATGGAAATAGCTTCCCCACCATATTATTAACCAATGCTTAGATCAGTATAATCAACTCCTTTATTCAGAGCATGTCTATTCTCATATTTAATGGCACTAAATAGGCATTTCCATCAGTTCAATAGGTTAATATAATTCAATAAATAATATCCAAGTAAGAAGTAGATCGCATCATGTGATGATTCCTTGATAAGATGCCTTATTTTATTAAGCAAATACATCAACAATTCTGAAGCTAATGTAAGTATAATTTTGTTAGCTACATTTTTACAAGTTACACAGTATATTAGCATGCTGCCACCAATACAGAATGTGACCATTGTAGTGAATGGAAAATAAGTGGGATATTTAGAAAACGATGTTTCCCAGATAGATCTTTCCCAATAAACGATGAATTGTGATTCAAAGTGTGGATTATGTTTCTATAAAAATTAAAATATCAGTTTTTAAACATATTCAGATAACATAACCCTCCACACTGTCAAAATATATTGTTATATAGATGTCAGCATATGACAGGGAACCAATACATTTACTTCTGTTTAACAAAATGTTATACTAGTTTTTGCCCTTGGCAGCGTATGGAGCTTTCTGTCATTACAAAGTTGTCTCAGCACTGTAGAAAATATTTGCACTTTGACACATTTAAAGTCATGCTGGAGAAATGGGTGGATATGTGTGGAGCAGAGCAAAGGACTACTAAAATACCTCCTTGGTTCACCTCTGAGATTTTATTTAATTGAATACCATTGACAAAAAACAAAACAAATAAACAAAACAAAAACACAGCATCTTATTCAGAGGCCAGAGAAAAATAAATATTGAAATTAGTGTCACCTTTGTTCATTTATCTAGTTTCTCATTTCCCCAGAAAGATGTTCTTAAATTCCAGGCTGTTCTCTTTATGATGGATGTACCTAATAACAGGGGTGATGTTCAATATTATTTCTTGGAATTAGACTTAACTGCTGCTAGTCCTCATCTTCATTTGATTGCTCCTCAGATTAATTCAAAAACGGTCTTTCACAGTTTTAAAGCATCATAGGGATATGTCAGACATATGGTCTCACTCCTGATCTCAAATCTCTGTTTGTCACGGTACTTCCTATCTGTCTTCAAGGTGTGAATACACATTTATCTATTAGTGTTTGTTTTTGCAGAAGTCTCAGACACTTCAGCTTTCAATGAAAAGTGGACTTATATCTAACCCTACAAACACACCACATGATGTATCCACAGTCAAATAATATTATACAAAATTCTGTGAGAATTTCTCCAATCAGAGATGATTTTTTCCCTTTGAGAGGGATAATTGACAGAAATTTTCTGATGTGCTGCATTTTAGCTTTACTGTTATGATTTTTTTTGGACATTGATTTTATAGTTACTAAAAATTATTTGTTAAAAATTTGGATGTTTTCTATAAGGCAGATATTATTATATTGTTCTTTAATGACATTTCTCATTTTTCCACCTAGCCTATCCTTATTTTCAGCCTTTCAAGAATGGTAATGAATATAATATAAGTACACAGTAAATCTTCATTGTAGGTACTATACTAAACTGCTTGCTTTATACTACAGCAGGGGACATTGCTTTAATATACTGCAGTTTTAAGTTAGCTTTGGCTATTTATTATTAGACTTTTAATGGCATCAGTTTCAGATATTATCCTTATCAAGACCTTGTTTGTATAATTTCAGATCCTTTCTTTACAAGAAAAATGTCATATTTTTTGTTTTTTCAAAACTCCAAACTCTTATTAGACCATTCATTATTTTTTCTTCTCTCTCAGCAAATTGAATATAATATTATATTATCTGAGAAAAATAATTTGATTAGACAGTTCCCAGCTCAATGCCACCATCCTCTGAGTTTTATACAATGATGCTGATCTGGAATAATATACTGATTAAAAGGAAAGTCTACTGAGTCAGACTGTCTGAATTTAAAACTTCCCTCCACATTTTACCAACTTGTGACGTTATATAGGTTTCAGTTTCCTATTATATAGAGTGGAGATAAGAATTATAACCAAGTGAAAGACTTTTAAGAATTCAATGAGTAATCCCCGTAAAATGATTAGTACAATGCCTGGCATTTATCAAGTATTCAATTCATGTTCATTGGGCTTCACATATGTTAATACATGTTGTTATTCTATGCCTCTATTTACGAAACTCTTTAGTCTTTCAATAATCCAATATAAATCACCCTATAGTTAAAATCACAAATACATTCTATACTAATATATAGTATTTAACAAATAAATACAATACAATTTTGAGCCATTTCTTTATAAGAAAATCTTTAGAAGATATTATCTTTAAAGTATTGTGAAGATGGGAATAAAAAGGCAATGCAAAATATTTCTCTTTAAATGTTTATCAGAGTTCTGTGTGTATTAAGTTGCAGTTAGCCTAATCAAATAACCATTTTAGACATCGGTAACTTTGCAAAGGCTGATGGACCTTCACTTACAGTTTGGTATGGACATTGACACTAACGATGCCCCCCACACATCAAGAGGTTATGGAAAGGTTGATCATTTATGTAACTGAGGTCTCTGGGGAGAGCAGGAAGGACTCTCAGGAAGATCCTAAATGGCTAGAGAGAGGAAGGAAAGAGACTTGCCTAGGTTTTTATTGTATAAGCTGGTGAGATCTTGCTCATGTAGCGAGGATTTATGAGATTTGAATTTCTTGCCTGCACCAAAGGAGGGAATACCAGCACTTTCTTGCCAGCTTGTCCAGAAGCGGGGATCAAGGGGAAAAGGGAAGGATGAGGCTCGAAAGCTATCAGCAGTCAAACATCAAAAAATTGAGTCAGACTCCTTGTTAACAAACCGTGACATTAAATTTTAGTAGCAAAATTGGCTGAGTTTAATCAACCAGAGAGTGTCTTACATATGTTATTCAAAGGTACCTTTGATTGATTTTTACTGGATATAGCAATCTTCATTCAACAATTTTTAAACAATATAATGTGACTTGAAAACTCCTAAAAATGTGAAGCCAAAAACACATTTTGTTAATTCTGTTATTTCTAAGCCCTTATCACATACCACTTTATATTTTAGTTAATTGTGTTTATTGAACTGAATTCCAAAATCTTAAGAAAATAAGAGGTGCGCATTATACTATTTTAAATTTGTTGCATGGCTTTGCATAATGCTAGTATTTAAAAAGAATTTATAAAATTAATAAATCAATTAATTATTCACTTACGTAAGACTCTATCCATGGAGTTTTTTAGACATAGCATCCTGAAGAAAATAAATTAAAATTTGAAGCATCAAGAATACTTTTGATTAAAATCATTACTTTTATAAGTATAATAATCCTATATTTAATAAAAAAGGCTCTAATGTATTTTCTATGAAAAAAAAGTTTGAAACTACCATGTCATAAAACTGAAGTATTCTTAAGAAGTTAAATTATAAAGTGGTTATAAATGTGACATGCTCTGATAATTAGAACTCTTAATTCAAGTAAATATATAGGAATAGTATACTTGCCCTGGTTTCATTTGCTGCCATATAAATGCTGTTCCGGGTCATGTTATAATTGGCTATTAAATGAATGTGTGCATAATAAATTTCTAATATATGAAAGGCATTAAATGAATCTAGAATAAAATGCACTGAAAAGTAGTATTAAATGAATGTAAAGACAAATAAAAAAATCTGAATACTTACATTCATCTCAAGAACATAATCACCTGAAAAGATATTTTTCTTGTAATTTTCTACATATGAATTTCTTATTTGCTAATATGAATAAGGATTATGTACTGGACTTAAAATCATCAAAAATCAAAAATAAGGTATTTATTAACAGCATTTATAACATTTAAAAAATTGTAGCTAATGTTACATAATAGAAGTTACCAACTTAAATGCTCAATACCTGCAAGGAGCAGCAGATAATATAATTTAATAAAACAGCATGTAAGTATCTGTAAGAGAGATTTCTGATGACCAAGGAGTTAAAATACATCCTTCCTTCTAGCACAACTCCAAAGTGCCCAATACAGCCAGAGCAAAAAGCACAATTGATTACCAGGAATATTTTTAAAGTATAACAAAGCTACAATATTAGACAAAAATAAACAATAACATCATTTTGGAGATGTGTAGTCCAAATTATCTTATACTCGGGAGGAGGCAGAGCAAGGAAAACAACAGAATGTGATTGCTGTGGGATGTGAGGCTCGGGACTCTAGCTTTTCAGGGGAGATCAAGGCCATCCCCAGTTGCTGGTAGAACGAAACACCAGAATGAGGGCTCAGCACAGGTAGAGTGAGGAACTGGTCTGTCCAGACTGGAGCAGTTCAGCAAACTGCAGTAGAGATTTCCTCAAGAATCTAAAATCGATTCCCTACTTGTTTGTGTCTGAAGCTGAAATTTAGACAACTGCCATAGAGTCTGGGGCAGAATTAGTAATAAGGAAACATAGAAAACCAAGCCAAAAATGTCATGGAATAGCATACACCATAACATATATATTTTTGATTACACTAAAATTAAATATAATAAAAAGATAAGCCTCTTATTTGTGAAATATAGTTATATATTGTTGAAAAATTATTACTCTCAAGAGTTTTGTACTTATCAGTTCATAAATAATAAGAATGTTAAAACATATAAAAGAAAACTGTTATAGACATGAAGTGGCAAGTTATAAAATTACCTTAGTGGGACATAAATATAATGAATAAATGCTTAAATTAACTTAACTGTTACATTATTTTAGAAAATCTAGAGAGAATAATTTATAGGTAAAATATCTTGATTTTTAAATGCGGTCCATAGTGTGGTAAATTGTTACAGTTTTAAACACAATATGAGCTAGCAACATATTTTCCAAAACAAACAAAACAAAACACTGACTTAGGTCAGATGAGGTTCAATGTCTCTGGGTTGCTATTGTCAGTGTGTTTTTTTTTTTTTTTTTTTTTTTTTTTTTTTTTTTTTTTTGAGATGGAGTTTTGCTCTTAGTGCCCAAGCTAGAGTGCAATGACACGATCTTGGCTCACTGCAACCCCCACCTCTGGGGTTCAAGCAATTCTCCTGCCTCAACCTCCCAAGGAGCTGGGATTACAGGTGCATGACACCAAGCCCAGCTTATTTTTAGTAGAAGTGGGGTTTTACCATGTTAGCCAGGCTGGTCTTGAACTCCTGGCCTCAGGTGATCTGCCTGCCTCTGCCTCCCAAAGTTCTGGGATTGCAGGCATGAGCCACTGTGCCTGGCTGCTATTTTCACCATAAAGATTGAAGTAGCTGATATTTCTACTGCATTATAAACAATTATTTAAGTGCATTTTTTTTTAAAAGTCCCAATATTTTTATTGAAATTTGGAAAGTAATTAATCATATTTAAGTAAGACAACATTTTCTTAGAGCTGAACTGTTCAGCTTGCCAGAAACCATATTCCATGACCTGAGTACAAGATAATAGTGGGCAAAAAGCTGCCCAATAACTAGGCCGTCATAAAGTTAATTACAATTGCAAAAGAGAAGTGTACATATTTTTATTCCTTCTCTGTGTGAGCTTGTGTTTTGATTCTGACATTTAGAATTGACGGTCTGAAATGTAGTAAAATCCCTTTACCGTTATCTGTTAGAAACCAAGATTATTAAACACAATTTTAGTTGTGTCAGGTTTTTATTTTTTAACTTGAAAAATTATTCAAGTTTTTCAGAAATTTTGAAAAGATTCTTTCAAATAGTGATTTAATTGTGATCAACCAGAATTTAGCAAACTATCTTTCAATTTAACAGTCTAGAGTATATTCAATATTGCATTGAAGGCAGGTACGTTGCTGCAAATTTGAGTATAATTTTCCCTTTTTTTCACATTTATTTATGTATGTATTTATTTATTTATTTATGTTTGAGACAGGGTCTTGCTCTGTTGCCTAGGCTGGAGTGCAGTGGTGTGATTATAACTCGCTGCAGCCTTGAACTACTGGGCTCAAGCCATCCTCCTGACTCAGCCTTCCAATTAACTAGGACTACAGGCATGCACAACTCCACCTAGCTAATTTTTTTAAAAAAATTCTGTAAAATGGGTTTTCCCCTGTGTTGCCCAGGCTGGTCTCGAACTCCTGACCTCAGCAATCCTGCCACCTCAGTCTCCCAAAGTGCTGGGATTACAGGCATGAGGCATGAGCCACCACGCCCAGCCACATTTTATTTTTCATTTCCCATGTATTTATAATTCTACAAAATTTTTAAAATGCTCATATACAAATATTGAGCATTTTATTCAACATTGGGCAAGTATTTGCAGCATGCCAACAAGGTATGAGACAACAATCTGGGCACGTGAGATACTTTAATGAATAAAATATATAAAAATTATTGTCCGGAGAGATCAAGCATTCTAGTAGAGGTAGACAGACACAAAGTTAAAGGATAAACAAATTCTATATCAGGTTGACTGGTGCTATGTGCTGTGGCAAACATTTATTTTTAAAAATAGAGAAAGGAGAAATGGGTGTGGAGGATGGTGATTTTAAATAGACTGTTCAATGTAGTTCTCACTAAGAAAGTCACATTTAAAAGTGGTCTTGAAGGTAGTTATGAAGTTAACTTTGTGGATATCCGGGGAAAGATTATTCCAAAGAAAATAATTAGCCAGTCGAATGGAAAAAAATGCTTGCCAGTTTTGAGGAAAAACAAGGAGCCCAGAATAATCTAATTGAAATGAGTGAAAGAAATGAGAATAATTTATCAGAGAAATACCGGGAATCTGATCTGACAGGTCCTTAGAGGCCACTGTGAGGACTACGTCTCAATGCAAATGAACAATTGGTAAGTTCTGAAAAGAGAACTGAGATGTCCAAACTTAGCTAGTTAAAAAAAGAAGCATACCTGCTCTGTATTTGGTTGAAAATAGATGGCAGGAGCGGAAGCTAGTGAGAAGAAACACTTAGAAGAACACTGCAATAATCCAAGTATGGGTATTAGACCAGCATTGTAGCAGGAGATATGATGAAAAGACATTGTATATCAGTTAAATTTTGAAGGTATCACTAGTAGGATTTTCTACAGTATTAGATATGGAAGATAACATAATGAAATAAATGAAGATTGACTGCTTGGTTTATGGCCTGGACAATTAGAAGGATAGAGCTGACATTAACGAAGATGGGGGAAGTTGAGTAACGACAGGAGCGAAAATTAGTAGTTAAAATTTGGACATGTTACTTTTGACATGTTTATTCAAGTAGAAATTTAGAATAGTTGGATATATGTTCGGATTATTAGATAGAGGTGAAAGTGGGAGGCATAAAATCAGAAAATTTCAATCTATATCTTAGATACAGATATAGATATAGACGTGTATAGTAACATGGAAAATTGCTAAGAATACCGAGGACCTGAATTTAACTAGAAAAGAAAAAAGCCTGGACAACTCTAAAACAGAGAGCAAGAAAAGAAGAGAAAGAACCAGTAAAGAAGACTGGGTAAAGTTAAAGAACAACCAACAGAATAAAGAATCCTGGAGGCTAATTATGATACTTGTGCCAAACTGAAAGGAATGATCAATATCCACCACTGACTAAGGTGAGGTATTATTACTTTTTTCTTGTTTGTTTGCTTGCTTTTATTGTTAATTCTATTTTATTTTCTTTACTAAATTTGGTATTTAAGTCATTGAAATAGATTCAATGTGCCTGAGAGCAAAATTGAATGGAATAATATCTCCACTGTGTATTAAAATGTAAATAGTGTAGACAGGTTATTCATACTGAAAGAAATTCAGATATAAATACAGACATATTCTAAAAATTATTGAACTTTCTAAATAAAACAATGAAATTAAGTTTAATTATATTTGGGATAATGGTTACTCAATTGATTTTAATTTAATTCTATTTTAGTTTGAAATAATCAGAGCTAATTAATTTAGTTTGGTAAGTACACATTAAGAATAAATTATCTTCAAATTTTAACAACCCCATAGTTCATGAGAATAAAGTAACAGAAACAAATCTTACTGAGAATATTGTGTGCATCTAGTAAAATAAATTCCAAATTCAACAGGGTGAATATTATGATGTCTGTTTTTCTGAAGAATTTCAATGATTCATTTAGTTTGCTAGTAAGGAAATAATAAAATCTGGTCCATCTGGCTCCTGAATGCATTTTTCCTATTATGGACATTTCATAGATTACTGGAAAAGTATAGAAAGTATTAGTGTTACACAGATCTGTTAATTTCCTTCATTCAATCAGATCCTCTGATTCATTGCTTTTAAGTCAGGTATATAAAAACAATCACATACCAGTTAATATTAATTCTTCTAGCTCTGTCCTCCTTACAAAGACTACCATAGGGCAGTCATTTCACAGATCAAGAAAAGTGAGAACTTTGAAACTAACTTCATTATTTCTCAAAAAAAGACAGCCAAATAATATTTCGCAAGTTAAAATATTTAATGTCTCATTCTATCTAATGACAATCTGACTCTCTCATATCAATCAGAGATCTACAGCTTGTAGGTAGCTTGGTTTGTTGCAGTGTTCTTAGTATTTCAAGCATGGTAAGCCCAGGCAAGCTATGTAACTACGAATTTCCTCATCTCTCCTGCCACATATTGTCTTCTTTTTTTAAACAGCCATTACATGTACAGTCAGTATAGGTCTTCTTAGAGCTGATTTACTTATTGTTATTTAACCTTGTAGTGATTATAGAATAAAGTGATCATAAGAGGCCTTGCTCGATGCCTAACATTTTTAATCACCTCAACCCACTCTACATATCCTATTCGAGTATTTGTCTGATCTATGATGGATGAGTTTTGGCAATGGGGGAACTAATTCCTTTCTAAGATAAAACTAAAATTATCTAAATTAAAACTGAAACTAAAAATCTTTCTGTTTCCTGGGTGATTGTGTCCTGAGAAACATTTCAAGTAATTCTTAATAGTCCAGTATGTTTTTTTTCTTAGCATTAAATTCAATCTTTAATGTGTGTTAGTTACTGAAGATAAAGTTCTTGAGTTAGTCCTGGTCTACAAAAACTTTACAACATAGTGATATAACAACAAATAAGTACATGTTTATAATTTTGTATTTGCTCAGTAAAATCTCTTGGTAACAGACTAGACAAAGTTAAATTTCTCCTATATGAATTCCACCTAGGAATCACCATGAGCATGGCATCTGCCGCCTAAAGGATGAATAATTAAAGAGGAATAAAAGGTTAATTCTTGGCACAGAAAATAGATAACATGCAATCTCTCTGTGAAGTTCCCCTATCTTGGTTTAAGTTTTACACTGTAGGCCATATCAGGGCCAGATTACACATGGCAGTCTTTCAAATATTTGCAGATGATGATTGTTTACGATTCCCATCTCTTCTTCTCTCCCATGCTTTGAGGTGCCTACATTCTATTTTCTGGACAATCGCAATCATTAGTTAACCATTGCATTCTTTTAGGTTTCTTTTCTCTACTTTTCCTTAGCTCTTTCAAAATTTTCTCAAATATAATGACTTGGAATTTCCTCAATAAAATAATAAATTTAAAAACAAGCTCTCTAGTCTTCAATACACATTTTAAACATGTTACCCACACCTGAGCACATATTCCATTAATTGTCTCATCATGAAGAAAAAAAAATTAGAACTGTGATTTCTCATTTTAGAGAAGGTTGATTTAGATTTTTTCTATATCTACATGACATTACTGATACACACTTCATTTACTCTCAAATATAATCCACTAGTTGATCCATAGTAAAGACTTGCAATAAAAACTTAAAGTTTATTATCCACAACTATATATATATGTATATATATAATATTTTATATTCCAAATGTGTCTCATACTCTATTGATGGTTAGACATCAGTGGTTCTATAAACATTAGTCAATATTTAAGTGATGAAACGGAAAAATAACAATTTGTACCAAAGCTATTTTATAGTTTCACTACATTGTAGGTCCAAATCCATGCAGTAGTTTCTGAACTGCTTATTCCCTGAGTGAATCACGTTTTACATTTAAAGGTGTAAAACATTTTTGTTATAAATGAGATCAGATCTGCCTCTAGGAATTAAATAAAATGAAATGTGTTTTATAAATACTAGTTTATTTCATAAAAATACAAAAATATAAATATACATTTATAAAAATATGAATGAATTAACACAAAGACATTCTTCAACTAAATAAATATGGCAGTAATAGTCATTCCTATTTCATTAGGGATATATCTTCTTCATATTAATTTACAAAGCGGTTGCACAATATTTAGTTTAATTGTAAAGGTGACTGAAAGTCAGTTAAGAAAACATTTATAAATTATTATACCTAAGAAAAGGCACAAAAAGCCTTTTACTTATTTTTATTGATTATTGATGTGATATATTTTCCTTCCGAGATTGTTAGGCAAAGAGGGTGAACTGGTTATTACTTTTTTAAAAATCTGTATCATTCGTATTCATTCACAAAGACTTACTGATTAAGCAAATCCCTACTTGACAACATCTACGTATTGTTTGTAACTTCAATTTTTGAAAGATTTCCTCCCAGGAAGAGAATGCAGGCCACTCAATCTAATAACATAGACAGTACTTCCACTAATATTGATTAAGTCAAACAATCCTCTTAGTCTCGGTCACTATCATCACCCCCATACATATCGGCAAGTTTTTTGAAACGAGGCCCCCAGTCACTGAGGTAATCATAATCTTGGTTACAATCAGCTGTGAGAGATTCCAAAGAACTGAGCGAATCTGCTATGGAATCATTCCCTTCATAGGCATACGTTGCCAGCGAATCATATGGAGGTGCACTTGGGTCTGCGTCGTTTTCTTTTAATCTTCGATGGATAAAATCTTGTACATCAATATTTTCCCACAGAGGCACAGTCCTCCTTATCTGAAAAATAGTTTCAGGCATTACATCCCGTCTAAGTTTACTGTCTTCTCTTGCCTCTGGATTCCTTAATGTGCCAATGTCAAAAGCTTGGGTATCTTCTTCCCCGCCGCCTTCATCGTTGTAGGTCACAATGTTGTCCCGGACATCGTCTTTTGAAATTATCAGAGGTTCCTTTTTTCTTTGCCTCTTCAATGCAGCAAACAACACGACTAAAACTATTAATAAGAAATGGGAAAATAGTGAGATTTCATGAGTCAGGATAAAATAGAGTACACTTCTGAGTGTGAAATTCGTTTGGTGCAGGAGATATTAAGATTGATCGAATAAAAAGAATTAACTACCCTGTACAAATACAGAGTTCCTCTAGGCAATGACTGGATGCACTGTATTGATAAAGGAGCAGATATTACCATGCCTTTAATTTACTGTCAAGACATACTCTCCTATGAACTTCTGGCTTTATTCAAGTACAACTATTATATTTATCCAACTGCAATTGCCTGACACCTCAGCAGTCTTTCCAAATGTGCACTCATTTCAAATACAAAAACACTAAAGCTCTACTCATGGTGATATTGATCATTCCTTTCACTTTGGCACAAGTATCATTTCTTAATGATTCAAGGGAATATATGCAAAACATTACTCATATATAGATACATATATACTTGTATATGCATTATATTTATATATTATGAGTGTACATACACACATACATGAATATGTATGAGTCACTGATTTTACCACTTCCCGTATCTCATAGGTTTAACTAAATTCCTTTACTGGTCTAATTTTATAGGAGGCTTAGAAAGCTGAAATATAACTCTAAAAGTTACAATATAAAACTCAAACTCAAACTCATCTTTAACTTATCGTGCAAAACACCTCAGACTGTATCTTGTTAATGAGGACTTCCTTGACATACAAGGTCCGATTTAAGCTTTTGGAATGAAACGTTAATTGTATTCCCTCTATTTGCTGTATTATTTTTATTGTTTACATGTCTATGTTACATAGTTAACTGTGAACTTCCCCTCATATAATATATTTTCTTATTTCTCATTATAATACTGGGATTCAAATTATGTGTACTGGAAGATGAACCTTTTTCTAATAAATGCATGTTGCAATTAATAAGATTCATTTTAAAAGAAGCAAACACGATTTTAAAAATATAAATTTTCCATTAAAGATTGCACAAGCCCATAGCTTTACATATAAGAAAGGTGAGAATAAAACCAAGAAAATATCTTCAAAACACACTTCAGCATTACCAGGGAAAAATACAAACTAGATTTCCTTTACTTTAGGGTTCTTAACTGTTTGTCAGTATTATTTATGCTTCACAGAAAATAAGAAAATGTTGGCTGAAGAAGCTATTATTCTTTTTCTCAATTTTTACATTGAGATTAAACAAAGCATACTCATTGTCATTGAGACTACACTTCAACATGGCCCGTGAGGCCCCTATAACTACACTAAAGCCCTGTCCAGTGTTATTTTCACATTGGCCAGCAGACTTTTCTCAGCTCTTCCTAACTGAAAGTAAGATTTTATGAAAGATAATTAGAAGTATCTGTAGTTAGCCTTCACAGAATGGGCTTTGGAAGCTGAGCTATATTCAGGATCATCTTATATATATATATATATATATATATATATATATATATATATATATATATATATAAAACTGCAGTAAAAATGAGACCTCTGTACTCTTCTTTTAAAAGATGGACATAAGATTAATTAAGTCCAACATAGATCTGACATCTATCAAATTTGAGCCATGCACTAGAAAAAGAGATTTCTTTCTAAATTTAATATTAAATAAATTTATAAGTTCTCCACTTTTCAATCAGTAAAATAACAATTGTGTAGTCAAATTGTATTAAGGGTTTCTCAACTAATAAAAATGTACTAATTCCCACAAATGGTCCTTAGAATCTGTTCTGAGCTTTTCCTTTTCTACCGTATTAAAATTATCCGATCATTTCTTAGATTGAGGTTATTAATCTGGGGCACGTGAACAGAATTCAGGAAGAATAGGATAAGAAATGAAAAAAAGTACATCATTATTTCCATCCATCTGTAACTCAAATTTAGCATTTTTTTCAATAGGATTATTGGCATAAACTATGGTGATAGTGGCAGTGTGTGTGACAGATATTTCATATTGCATTACAGTTTGACAGATAAATCAAACCATAGTTAGACTTGCTCCAGAACACAGCATGTGTGATTTGATAAGCAAGCACGGTTTTCTTTGTGTTTTTTGTTTCATTTGTGTAAGCGTATTTCCTTTTTGTCTTACATGTTTTACTCTAATAAATTTAAATCATCATTCTGGCTAGATCCATTCTTTTCATCAGGCTGAAAAGTGTCCCTACAACCAAAAAGTTTAAAAAGCCCTGCCCTAGATTTTAATCTTCCATCTTGCCTTATAAAATAGATATAAACTAAGAGCTACATTTCTTCAAAATGTACGAAAGTACATTTAAAATATTATTGTCAGTGCTATGTCACTATCTTATGAAAAGCAAACTCTCTTAACTATAGAAATGCATTAACTACGTCCAGCTATTACCATAAAGACTCAAAATAACAATAAAGTGCTTTAATAACTTTGCAAATATAAATTTCTAAATTAGAAGCAATTTTAACTACAATAATAAAAAATTACTCCACATTTAGGCAATGAGCTGGGAAAGTGAAAAATAAGAAATTAGTGCTTTCCATATTGCTCAAGGAACAAAGGTGGCTGACTGCAGAACAGAAGAGGAAACCTTCTAGGATTTCTGCATAGAAAAAAATAGTATCAAATTAATTTGACAATGTTAAAATATCTAAACTGATTTGGGGGGATGCTTTCAGTTCCCTATGTGTGCATGACTGTCTTTGTGTGTATGTGCATTACATTAATATAGAAATTTTAAAAATGATCTAACAATAAACATATTTACATGTTGTTCTAAATTAGGAAAGTGGAACTTCCTGAGCGAATAAAACAACGTGAAATCAGTAGCACTTAGCTAAAAGGCTAAGCCAAATTTTTATCTCCATAGGAATATAAAAATATTTTACAGAGGAGTTGAACTCTCTAGCAGTAGGTGGGGATTGAAACTGCTGATGGTGATGGTAGCAGTGTGTTTGTTCTAAACCACACTGAGAAAATGTTTTTCAAAATAGTTGGAACATCTTAACTGAGACAAATGTTTTTCCCTCACTTTCATCAATCCCCTACTGAAGTCCTGCAAGGATATCTGGCCAAAGGGATTTCATCCAGATAGCTTGAAAGGATTTGCAGAGAAAAGGAGCTAGCACATACGAGCATTAGAACATAAATTTGGCTAGCTCTCCTGCCCTAAGCATAAGCATTTGGGCTGAATATTTGATAGAAACAATTTTTTGGGGAATGTTTTCCAGTGGAACAACTGTTTAATTGAATTAAATCGTTGTCCTGTTAGTGCATGCTCAAATAAAACATTCGCTGTTGGAACATGACTTTATTTAGAAAATATTGCAGGGCTAGGTAGGACCACAGCGACATAGTGATATTTTTTAAAACAGAATTTTAATTTTTTAATTTGTTATGTCACACCAATGCACAACAAGTTATATAGGGGAAAATGTCTAACTTACTGTGACAACTTTAACACATTTGCATGTTAGACATCTGATATAGATAATTCAGAATATGTTAGTAACTGTTAACAGTTAGTAACTATAAGGGCAAAGTAGTCTTTGGTTTGGGAATAATAGAAAGGAGAACTCTATGGTAGAGTAATCTGTGTTTGAATACTAGCTAAAGCTTTTCCTAAATGAGTGACTGAGTAAATTATGCAGCCTTTCTCTAGAAGAAAAGTATTTACCTTATACAGTTGATGCAAAGATGAAATCAATGAAATCAAATGTCCTTAGAACAGTGAACATAGTCAAAAATATAATAGCTAATGCTATAAAGTATATATTTTTAAATACGCATGTGTATAGCATTTGTTAGATGTTTCTTTTTGGTCTCTGGAAAGCTGGGCCTATCCCCACACACAAAAACGCTTATTTTTTCCTAATTGAAAGAAGAATTTTAATAAAAAGTGAAAATGTTCTATCTTTATCTATAGAGAAAATTGTTATTCAGTGCACCATGCTCAGACAGTGAGGGAGAGATTTTTGTGAGTTAAAGGATCATTCAGAGGGGCAGAGCTTACTAAGCAGTATGAGGACACAGAGTAGAATCGCAACGAGAGCTCCCGTGCTCAGGCCGGCTGAAAGGATCAGGGCTTCTGCGGTGCAGGATTGCATGTTTCCTTGATTATCGCAGGCACACACACGGATAGTGAGTGTACCAGTGCTGCTTTGAATTGGATAATCGTTGTCAAAGATTAAAATCGGCAATAAGTAGGTGCTCATTTTGTTGCGACTGTAGCCATCTTTCCGAGTCATGATTCCTGCTGTATTATCTGGGGGAGAAAACATGTAAAAAAACAAAAACTTTCATATTTGTTTTTAACTGTGTATCTTAAAGTTTCATAATTTTTAGTTTTAGAAATTTTCTTATACCTTTATTATCTACAATGGTGAAATTCGGATTGAGAGTAAATTCTGGCACTGGTTCAAAAAAGAATTTGTGACCTCGGGGAGGGTCATCCTTATCCATGACACTGACAGTCTGAATCAACTGAAACCAAAATTAATTAATTAATTAATTAAGCCTAAGGCAATGTTCTTGTTATTACAAGATATCTTAAATCCATGTATTTGTGCTTTAAATACATCACGAAAACAAAGCAAGAAAACAAAATAAATGCCATTTTCAGAAAATTATGCCAATGTCTTATTTTTTACAGTTTTGTCTTAGATAACTTATTTAGTTAAGAGTGGAAGACATCCATTAAGCAATGGTTTGCAAGGTATCTTAATGCATTATTGTCTTATACCTGGCCAGCTTAAAGAAAAATTCAATCCCTCCAATACCTATCCTCTTTTGATATTGTTGAAAGGCACAGTCCATTGTATTATTAATTGATGAGCAATCTGTTACTTCCACTAGACAATAATTCTTCAAAGGACGAGTACACAGAAGATGCATTTTTAAAAACACCAATGCTTAGCACAATCCCTCCTATATATTAACAATATTATTAATATATTTTTAAAATAAATAAATTTGTCTGTACTATCAGAAAGAAAATGATTTTGAAGCTATGGACACCATTACTATAATTGAACTATTTTATTTAAATTGCTTGCTTTTCCTTTAACAGTATTTGCAAAGACAGATATACAAAGAAATGCTTTTAAGATTTTGTAAAATCAATGTTGAAGTTTCAAAATTAGAGCACCTCTTGGCTGAGCTAGTGTAAGTAAATAAGAAGTGTGTCCTAATGGAATATGGAACAGCCAACTATGGGTTGGGCAGAAAAATTTCACTGAGCATTTTATAGTGGAAAAAGCACTGAGCTACACATTGGGTTGCCTCCCATCTGTGTGATTTGAAATCACAGCCATTTAATTACTCTGACTTTTAACGTTCTCTTCTACAAAAATAGACAGGTCTCATAGTCTAACATTGTGTGGTGAAAAGTTATTGAAATTCACAATAGTTTAAGCTTTCCATTGTTTTACTGTATACCTTTTATAACTATACTAACCTACATACTCACTAGTCAGTGTTATTTTCACTTTAATTTTATATTAATGATAATTACATCATTTTGACAGCATGATATGTAACTGTATTTTTAATAAAGTGCTTTTGAAAGTGCACAATGCACAATTTTTAATAAACTTTTCTCCTTAGAAAATTGGAATATAAGAAAATAATTATATAGGATCTAATATTTTTGCTCAACCTTCTGTTCCTACATAGCAATAACAAATCTAACTTTTAGTAATAATTTAAATCATAAAAAGTTGGTCTTTTAGTTATATATGACATTTGAAGTCTTGAAATTATTAGATGAGCTTTGTATAAGTATATTTTATGAGGATATACATATACTTAAAATCTATTTTATTTTTAACTTTGTTAAATTCAATTAGGGTAATATATATTAAATAATTATAATTAGTTAATATTAATTATACTTAATTTCTATAAAATATTAGCATATAATATATCAATAACACACATGAATCAGTAAAAGACAAGCATACTGATAGATAAGTGAGTAAAGAATATTTATATGTGATTGTAGGTTGACTTGTGTTCCCCCAAAATATCTGTTCAAGTCTTAAATCCCAGTACCTGTGAATGTGGCTTATTTGGATATAGGCCGTTTGCAGATAAAATCAAGTTAAAATAAGATCATTCTAAATTAAGGAGGACTCTAATTCGATGACTGGAGTCCTCATAAGAAGAAGCAAGTTTGGACACAGAAACAGATACAGGAAGAATGCCATGAAATGATGGAGACAGAGATTGGAGTAATTGGCGTCCACAAGCCAAAGGATGTCAAGGATGGCTGGCAAGCACATGAAGCTAGAAAGTGCCAAGGGAGGATAGTCTCCTAGAACCTTTAGAGAGAGCATAGATAGCCCTGCTGCGTGTTAATTTTATACTTCCAGCCTCCAAAACTATGAGAAATAAAATTCTGTGTTTTAAGTCATTCTGTTTGTGGTAATTTGTCATGGCAGCCCTTGGAAACTAATACAGCTGTAAATTATTTTTAAGTCCACATTTTTATGAAAAAAAAATGTTTGGCCTTAATGATTTTAAAAGAATTCACACTAAAAGTGTTATGAGAAATTTACATATTGGCAGACATTTAAAATCTAGAGTTGCCAAGTACATAGGCAATCATATGTATTTGGTGGGAATATCACCTAGTTTACGACAGATTTGGAGAAGTATTTGGGAATAGTTATTAATATTTATAGATACAATTTAATTTTTCCTACTTTGAGAATTATATCAAAAGAAAGAGTACCAGGTGGTAAACAAGCAAAATGTACTACAGTGTTCATTATAGTATAACTGGGGTACTGCTAGGGTAACATTTTGTGGATAAACCAAATTTCCATTAAGAAGGTAATAATTGAATAAGTAATATGTAACTATGTTATGAAAATTAAGCATCAAATTCAAAAAAATCATTTACTAAACTGAGATGCCCATTATATGTTGCAAAATGAAAAAGAAAAGCACATTTTTATCCAAATAGCTATGTGAAAATTCCATGTTATTACAAATAAAAATCTCATTTGCATTTTTGTATATGTAGGTGGAATGTACTGTGTATCTCTGTCTTAGTCAGCTGGGCTGCCATAACAATCCCACACACTCAATGGCTTAAACTACAGAAATGCATTTTCTCATAGTTCTGGAGAATGTAAGGTTGAGATCTAGAGGCTAGCATGGTTGGCTTCTGGTGAGGGCTTGCAAATATTAATAGCTACCTTCTCCCTGAGTGCTCTCATATGGCTTTTCCTTGGCCCACGAATTCAGGGACAGGGAGAAAGAGAGAGCATGAGCTCTCTGTTATCTTTTCTTTGTATGCTAATTCCATCAGATCAGGCTCTATACCCTTATAACTTCACTTCATCTTAATTACTTCTTTGAAACACCATCTCCAAATACAATGACACTAGGGTTACATTTTCAAGATTTGAATTTGGAGGAGGGCTACAAACATTCAGTTCATAATATTCTCTATTGGAATAGAAGAAAAACTGTATTTCAGTTTATTTTCTACCTTAAAGAGACATGACAGAATTAAAGATGATTCTTAACATCTACCTATTTTATCTTTAAAGTAGTTAATTACATGGTTAAATTACTTTTGGTAAAATTTATGCAGTTACTGTTATTGAAAAATACTACATTTTTTTGTCAAAAATGAGCATATTCTGCATTTATTTAGAATTACTTTATATACATTTGAAAGAATTACTTTGTAAGAAGACTTCATAATTCTTTTACAAACAAATCTACTTCATTTCAATGATATGAAACTTTAAAACTTACAAAATATCACTCATATCAAAATCTGAAACTATTAAAAGTGGCAAAATGTAATCAAGAAAACAATGATTATGATTACCTTTATAATAACATGAAACAATTTCATTTTCATACTTCAGGTTTTATTTAATGATATATTTTCATTCTATTAGTGAAGATAACTCAGCATAAGCATAATTATGAATGCAGGTAACAGCTTCTACATATGTGATATTCACTATAAACCTAGTATATAAATTAAAACATATGTTATAATATTCCCTACTATATTATTGATTCCATTATAAAAACATTTTTAAATCACCTTTTTAAAAAATCACTGTGAGTTCTTTGTTAAGGATAAATGGTGGACAAGAAGTATTGACAACAGCCTGCACAAAAGAAATCCTGCAAATAAAGTGATGTAATGTCATTTGACTTTGTAAAGAGAAAATATATTCTTTTAAGTTTTTAATGATTTTATTTACCTGCCCAGGTTTTGCATTTTCACAAACAAATGTTTCATAATACAT
Source organism: Homo sapiens (assembly GCF_000001405.40). NCBI lineage: Eukaryota > Metazoa > Chordata > Mammalia > Primates > Hominidae > Homo > Homo sapiens. Next base: position 26,889,881 of record NC_000005.10, read on the forward strand.
GGCAAATTCCGGAGCATGGTCATTTATATCTAGAATTCTGATGAAGACAGGGATGTGGCTACTTTGTTTTGGGTTATCTGCAACGAGAACACGTGTAAGATTTCAGTCTCATTTACACAGAAGCAGTGAAACCACTCACCCATTTGTAGCTTAGCAACAGATCCTTTTTGTGGTGTTCACTTTCTCAATTGGGCTGCTGATGAATATCTCAGCTCTCTTACATGGTCCAAAAGAAAAGCACAATAAAATTGAGGAAAACATAATTGAGAATGAAGTATTATTTGTAATAGATAATTTTCTTAGATTATTTTTATGAGGTTAAATTATATTTCTCTCCTATATAAGGTGTAAAAGAAAATCAAATTTGAAATGAATGATTTGATAATCCTTAAAAATAATTTAAAAATGTGTTGATATTCTAAGCCATTTCTCTAAGATCTTGCTAAGGATACAATCATACCACTCAAGAAAATGAGTCTAGCTGGTGCTATTATTTTACCACTTTGATGAAAGACAGTGTCTTCGGGTAGATGTAGCTCCAACTTACTTATTTCTGTGGCTGTAACAGTGATGTTATGCCAAGGAGATGATTCCCGGTCAAGGGCTTTCAAAGTGAAAATAGAACCATTTTCTGAGTGAATACCAAAAATACGGTCCATATCAGTATGCCGATCAACAGAGTACCTGGCAGAAGACAGACTCATAAATCCAGGCATTCTTCTAAGGTTATTAGTTCTACTCTTTCTTAAAGCTATAGGTAATTTCCACAATGATCTGACAAAGACATGAAATGCAAAATGCTAACAACTTTCTTGAATTTTTATTTTATAGAATTGTTATTTGAGCAATTTCATATGTTTGACTCTTTCTACTTACTATATTATCCTATGTGTACTTTAGAACTGTTATTTATACACATGAATCTGGATGGCAGCTGTTAAAGTGAGTTCTTAAGTATCACTTGGTTCACTTATCCTATCGTAGGCCTACTGCAGTGCTTGAGACACTTTAAACAGTAATGTTAAACTTGACTGAGTCAATAGTAATGAATAAATCGAAAGTATGTTAAAAAATACATAACTGTGTCCAGAGTCCTCTATAAGTGAATATCGAGAAGGCTATTATAAAATACATCGCTCTTGAATGTTTTTTTATTCAAGGAATATCCAGCTGAATCAAGGTCTTTCTCTACTCTATCCCTCCAACTTATTTCAAATCAAAATGAAATGTTATATCACCACAGAGTTCTGTGACTTTCTCATTAGGGCTGTATTTGGAAGAGGTCATTGTAAGCTTTGTATCTTATTAAAGATAAGACTCTGCAGTTGGCAAAATAATATCTCCTCTCCCTAAGATGTCTATACCCTAATCCCCAGAACCTGTGAAGATGTTGTTTTACACAGCAAAAGTAATTTTGCAGATGTGATTAAGGTTAAAACACTGAAACAGGGAATTATCCCTGATTATCAAGGTGTGTCTAGTTTAATCCTATGAGCCCTTAAAAGTGGAATGGGAAGACCAGGTGCGGTGGCTCACGCCTGTAATCCCAAAATTTTGGAGGCCGAGGTGAGTGGATCATCTGAAGTCAGGAGTTCGAGACCAGCCTGACCAACATGGTGAAACCCCGTCTCTACTAAAAATACAAAAATTAGCCAGGCATGGTGGCAGACACCTGTAATCCCAGCTACTCGGGAGGCTGAGGCAGGAGAATCACTTGAACCCAGGAGGCAGAGGTTGCAGTGAGCCGAGATGGCACCACTGCACTCCAGCCTGGGTGACAGAGTGAGACTCCATCTCAAAAACAAACAAACAAACAAACAAAGTGAAATGGGAAGGCAGAAAATTGGTTTAGAGAGATGAAACAGAAGAAAAAAAGAGAAGAGATTTGAAGACTAAGAAGTACTTGACCCATTGTTGCTGGCTTTAAAGCTGAAGGAATGGAGCCACAAACCAATAAAAAATGAACATAGGCAGCCTCTAAAAACTAGGAATGGTCCTTAAGCTGACATCCAGCAAGGAAACAGGGGCCTTCCCCACACAACTGCAAGGACTTGAAATCTGTTCACAACCTGAATGATCAAGGAAGCAATTCCCTGCCTAGAATATACGGAAAGAAATATGGCCCTGTTCACACCGCCCACCTTGACTCTAGCCCAGTGAGACACATACTGAACTTCTGATCCACAAAAGTTCAGACCTATCTATAAGATAATAATACATTTATAGTATTTTTGTGGCAGCAATAGAAATCTAATATATCCTTAAAAGATAAATTTTTGAAAAGATTAATTTATATGAAAGTCCTTCAGTTACATCAGACCATGTTATGCCGTACTAGTTAATTTTTTACATCTTTGTGAGATTTCTGTTGCAGTCTTTAATTGAGCCATATCAGAAAGTGAGTGCTTCTCAAACATTAACATTTAGGTGAATCACATACGAATCCTGTTAAAAACAGAGTTTGATTCAGTAGGTCTGGGGTGGGAGCTGAGATTGTGCATTTTTAACAAACTCTTAGATGAATCCTATGCTGTAGCTCCACAGGCTAGGTTTTATATAGCAGTTTTAGGCTATGGGATGAAGTGATTAGAATAAGAACGGAAACAGGAAAAGCAATGCAAGACAATTAACAGGCTAATCAGCCTCTGCTGTAGTCCTCATTTTTCTAGGTATCTTATTAAGGCATCTTATTATGAACTCCCTTTTGATCAAGTGAATTGGGAAATTACAGCTCCCACTGTAAATCTTAAATATATTCACAGTTTGGTGCTGGCTTTGGCAAACATAAGTAATAGACATTTAGGTTTTGAAACATTATGAAGTACTGGCATTTTTTTGTTGTTGTTGTTGTTTTTCTTTTCTTTTTTTGAGACTGAGTCTCACTCTCTCGCCCAGGCTGCAGTGCAGTGGCGCGATCTCGGCTCACTGCAAGCTCCGCCTTCCAGGTTTCCGCCATTCTCCTGCCTCAGCCTCCCGAGTAGCTGGAACTACAGGCGCCCACCACCATGTCCGGCTAATTTTTTTTTGTATTTTTAGTAGAGACAGGGTTTCACCGTGTTAGCCAGGATGGTCTCGATCTCATGACCTCGTGATCCGCCTGCCTTGGCCTCCCAAAGTGCTAGGACTACAGGCGTGAACCACCACACCCTGCCAGTATTGGCAATTTTTAAATTATTGGGTGAACATACATTAACCTAAATTGTATGATTCTTTTGTTTGAATTGTTTATTAAAGGACATACTATTTAATCTATTGTTTAAGAATTATGCTGAACTTAAGGGATCTATTAAGTAAATGGGTCTGATCATAATTTTAACAATTTAATATAGTACATGAAGATGCTTGCTTAATTTATTTTCTGCTAAATTTTATAAAACAATTATTGCTGAGTCATAGATACTGCTTCAAAGAGAGTATTTGGGCCTTTGGAAAAAAGTTATTTGGTGTCATCTCAGTGGTGGAATGGCTAAAAACTTATATACTTGGTCTCAGGTTTTACCTCACTCCCAGTACATGGAACCAGTTCAGTTGTCTCTGTTTTGTCATTCAACAGGATTTTACAATGCACAACAGAAGTACATGCAAATGATAGTATTCCCTCAGTTTTTCAATAATCGTTATTGTAATCTTTTCACATGGTGTTATGAAAAGAATTTAGGCACTTAAAATACACTCATTTGACATATGATTGCTGCCCAAGAGTAGCCTATATTTCTTGGGTGGGAAGTCCTAAGGCTATAAAGGAGAAATAGAAACCTAGATATAAAAATATGTAAGAATGCATAACAGCATATATATATATTTTATTTTATTTTATTTTATTTTTATTTTTGGAAGCAAATGTCATGCTGGCTTTTAGCCAACAATTGTTTGTCAGAGTATTATCAGAGATAGATCCGATTTGCAAAATAACAATGTAGTAAAATTGAGCATGCAAGTCATACTGAAATTTTTCTTTTAAACCTCTATTTCCAGTTGTGCTAACATGAAACAAAATATTATGTTTCCTACCTATAGGTTTCAACCCTTTCACAATTCCTGATGTGGGCTTTATTGATGTTGGGACCAAATCACTATTATAAGGTTTTTGAGAGAAAAGCAAATAAAGTCATTGGAACAACAAAAATATTTTATTTTCCTTAGCTACACAAATTCTGCTTATGAATAAAAACAAACCTAAAACGTACACAAAGAAAGAGGAAGCAAAAGAACATAATTACATCTGTGCATTGAATGGAGCTCAATTCATAATATTCACCTGTAAATATTTCTCTCTATTGTTGGAAAGGTCAATAGTTAACCATTACCTGCTTATGTCTGAATAGATCTTGGATTTCTTCCTGCTGTTTGCATTGAAGGTCAAAGAGGAAAATAAAATTTCCTTTTGTGCTCATTGCTAGCTGCCCTAGCGTTTAGCCTAGAGATTTTGATGGTATTTCTATAACTGAGGAATAGCTAACAATTGCAACATGATAAAAATCAAGCTTTGATACACTTGTATCTTTTTTCAGGATCAAAATAGATTTGGGTTTCTGGCCACCTTACTCTTAGGTACAACCTTGAAAGACACTGTTTTTCACTTTAAGAATTCATGAAGGCACTCACAGACGATACAGAAATAGCTCACTTTTAACTTTGACAGCGCCAACTTCCAGGTCTATATTCAAATTTTTGTTTCCAGTGCAAGTGATGTCTCACAATTTGTCAAAGCTCAGAGATAATTTTCTTTTATTTAGCAGCCAAACTTCTATTTTCACCCAGAATAGCACATTCAGATTTACTTATTAATAATAAATACATTGGATTACCACAAATGACCAGAAAGAGCCTGATAAACCCTTAACACAGAACAAAGCTATCTCTATGTTCCAGCAGATGGCCTACTATAACAACAATATTTTATTGGTCCCCCTGCATTGAATTTTGAACAATCAGTTTAAAAAGGCCATTGTCATAAGTTTTGTATAAATACTCTCTGCAGAGACAGGATCCAATCATATAGGCATCAAATAACATGTGAAAGAGAGCACAAGGGCTCTCTTCCCACAAAAGCTGAACTCTGCTTTTCATTTTTCTTATTTGCTTTATATTTTTATGTTCTACCATTAAAAGTCAAGCATGTATCATATATCTATATTTTTACCTAGCACAAATAATCTAAACTCAATTATAGACACCAGAATAAATGAGTAATATGCAGAAATATGTCAAGAATGCATTCCTTTTTCTCTGCTGGATTCCATATATTTCTTCCACTGACTAAGTCAATTTAGGTAGGACATAATTTGCTTTTTACTTTTCAGCTACTGCTTTCCAGAAACATGTTTTCATAGCTGTGACCTAGCCATTCATTATCCCTCAAAAATGAATATTGAGTATTAGCTATACAATGACATTATTTATAATTTCATTTGAAAAAATAGTTCAAATCTTTTTTGCAGAGATTAGTGATATTATTGTTAGATTATTATTATTTTACCTTTTGCAATAAAATCAAGCAAATATGAGAGAAGCACCACTATACAGGAATGCACTTACACATTTATTCCAGTTTATTTTGAAGTCATGGACATTTTATTGAGGCATAATTAAATCCCTCACCAGAAAGTTTGTTTTGTTACTTTTCAATTCCACAGCAGTAGAAAGGATCTTTTAAAAATCATTGAACTTTAAATACGTTAAGCATAAAATAGGTGTAAAATGAGGCAACATGTTATTTCAGATCTTGTAAAGCTATAATCAACCCTATAACTTTGGAGATTCGTGATTACTAATGAGGTGAAGCAGAGCTGACAACAGCTGCTAATTGTAACCATAATCTCATGTTGCAAGTGGCAGATGTATTTCAGAAAATATATTTGATGAACAGATTTAATCGTGGATGAGAATTAGTTCCCAATCTTTCCCTGGAAAAATGTTTCTCTGTGATGCTTATCATAGCCTATTTCTGCTCTGAGATCAGTCATCCTTCTAAATTTGATCGTAGCAAACAAAACAGTCCCATGCTACAATGTTGCATTCTTGTTGAATTATTGCTGATTTTTCTTCACACTATAATTGGATATCTAAGGCTTTTTTGCATACATTTTGAATGCTAACAGAAGCCATCCTCTGTGCTATGCTTTCCGGTATGGCCTTGCAAATTGGCAGAATTGGTAGTACCATCTGAAGAATACAATTTGAGATTAATTTCGCTCAATATTTTTCCACTCCTTATAATAATCTTGAGATGCTACAGGTGAAATTATAATTGATTATTTCTAGGACTTGAGTACCCTATACAAAACAAAGATTTCCGGATGACCTTTAAACTGAACTTTTTTAAAGCCATTTTTTTAAACACTGGGAAGCAAGTTTGCAAATTTTACTATCAGTCTTTGAATGAGAAATTTTACTTTTGAAATTATATCCTTGGGAAATTATCAGATACAGGAGAGGTTTTATATACACACATGGAAATTATCAGATATAGGGAGATTTTATATGCACATACACACCAAGTATATGTGTGTATGTAAAGATTGTATATATCTCTAATCTAAATATTTATTTATGATGTATAATATACATGATAGTATATCATTTATACAATAGTATGAAATGAAATGAATTTCATTTCATTATAGAATAGAATGAAATGAAAATTTCATTTCATTATACAATAGAATGAAATGAAAATTTCATTTCATTATACAACAGAATGAAATGAAGGCAGAAATAAATAAGTTATTTGAAACCTATAAGAACAAAGACACATATAACAGAATCTCTGGGACACAGCTAAAGCAGTGTTTAGAGGGAAATTTATAGCACTAAATGCCCACAGGAGAAAGTGGGAAAGAGCTAAACTTGACACCCAAACATCACAATTAAAAGAACTGGAGAAGCAAGAGCAAGCAAATTCAAAAGCTAGCAGAAGACAAGAAATAACTAACATCAGAGCAGAGCTGAAGGAGATAGAGACACAAAAAAACCCTCAAAAAAATCAATGAATTCAGGAGTAGTTTTTTTGAAAAGATTAAGAAATAGGTGGACCACTTGCCAGACTAATAAAGAAGAAAAGAGAGAAGAATCAAATAGACACAATAAAAAATGATAAAGGGAATATCACCAGTGATCCCACAGAAATACAAACTACCATTAGAGAATACTATAAAAACCTCTATGCATATAAACTAAAAAAACTAGAAGAAATTCATAAATTCCTGGACACATACACCCTCCAAAGACTAAACCAGGAAGAAGTTGAATCCCTGAATAGACCAATAACAAATTCTGAAATTCAGGCAGTAATTAATAACCTACCAACAAAAAAAAAGCCCAAGAACAGACGGATTCACAGCCAAATTTTACCAGAGATACATAGAGGAGCTGGTACCATTTCTTCTGAAACTATTCCAAACAATAGAAAAAGAGGGACTCTCCCCAATTCATTTTATGAGGCCAGCATCTTTCTGATAACAAAACATGTCAGAGACACAACAAAAAAAGAAAATTTCAGGCCAATAACCCTGATAAACATTGATGTGAAAATCCTCAGTAATATACTGGCAAACTCAATCCAGCAGCAAATCAAAAAGCTTATCAACCACGATCAAGTTGGCTTCATCCCTGGGATGCAAGACTGGTTCAATATGCATAAATCAATAAAGTAAGCCATCATATAAACAGAGCCAATGACAAAAACCACATGATTATCTCAATAGATGAAGGAAAGGCCTTCAATAAACTTCAACACCCTTTCATGCTATAAACTTTCAATAAACTAGGTATGGAGGGAACGTATCTCAAAATAGTAAGAGTTATTTATGACAAACCCACAGCCAATATCATACTGAATGGGCACAGGCTGGAAACATTCCCTTTGAAAACTGGCACAAGACAAGGATGTCCTCTCTCACCACTCCTATTCATTCAACATAGTATTGGAAGTTCAAGCCAGGGCAATCAGGCATGAGAAAGAAATAAAGGGTATTCAAGTAGGAAGAGAGGAAGTCAAATTGTGTCTGTTTGCAGATGACATGATTGTATATTTAGAAAACCCCATCGTCTCAGCCCCAAATCTCCTTAACCTGATAAGCAATTTCAGCAAAATCTCAGGATATAAAATCAATGTGCAAAAATCACAAGCATTCCTATACACCAATAACAGACAAACAGAGAGCCAAATCATGAGTGAACTCCCATTCACAATCACTACAAAGAGAATAAAATACCTAGGAATAAAGCTTACAAGGGATGTGAAGTACCTCTTCAAGGAGAACTACAAATCACTGCTCAAAGAAATAAGGGAGGACACAAACAAAGGAAAAAACGTTCCATGCTCATGGATAGGAAGAATCAGTATCGTGAAAATGGCCATACTGCTCAAAGTAATTTGTAGATTCAATGCTATCCCCATCAAGCCACCATTGACTTTCTTCACAGAATTAGAAAAAACTAGTTTAAATTTCATATGGAACCAAAAAAGAGCCCTTATAGCAAAGACAATCCTAAGCAAAAAGAACAAAGCTGGAGGCATCACGCCACCTGACTTCAAACTACACTGCAAGTCTTCAGTAACCAAAACAGCATGTTACTGGCACCAAAACAGATATACAGACCAGTGGAACAGAACAGAGCCAGCAATAATGCCACATATCTACAGCCATCTGATCTTTGACAAACCTGACAAAAGCAAGAAATGGGGAAAGGATTCCCTATTTAATAAATGGTGTTGGGAAACCTGGCTAGCCATATGCGGAAAACTGAATCTAGATCCTTTCCTTACACATAATACAAAAATTCACTCAAGATGGACTGAAGACATAAACGTAAGACCTAAAACCATAAAAACCCTAGAAGAAAACCTAGGCAATACCATTCAGGACATAGGCATAGGCAAAGACTTCATGACTAAAACACCAAAAGCAATGACAACAAAAGCCAAAATTGATAAATGAGATCTAATTAAACTAAAGGGCTTCTGCACAGCAAAAGAAACTAGCATCAGAGTGATCAGGCAAACTATAGAATGGGAGAAAATTTTTGCAATCTATCCATCTGACAAAGAGCTAATATCCAGAATCTACAAAGAACTTAAACAAATTTACAAGAAAAAATGAACAATCCTATCAAAAGGTGAGTGAAGGATATGAACAGACACTTCTCAAAAGAAGACATTTATGCGGCCAACAAACATATGAAAAAAAGCTCATCATCACTGGTGATTAGAGAAATGCAAATCAAAACCACAATGAGACACCATCTCCATCAATTAGAATGGCAACCATCAAAAAGTGAGGAAGCAAAAGACGCTGGAGAGTATGTGGAGAAATAGGAACACTTTTACACTGTTGGTGGGAATGTAAATTAGTTCAACCATTGTAGAAGACAGTGTGGTGATTCCTCAAGGATCTAGAACCAGAAATACCATTTGACCCAGCAATCCCACTACTGGGTATATACCCCAAGGATTATAAATCATTCTACTATAAAGACACATGCACACTTATGTTTATTGCACCACTATTCACAATAGCAAAGACTTGGACCAACCCAAATGTCCATCAATGATAGACTGTATATACACCATGGAATACTATGCAGCCATAAAAATAATGAGGTCATGTCCTTTGCCGGGACATGGATGAAGCTGGAAATCATCATTCTCAACAAATTAACACAGGAACAGAAAACCAAACACCACATGTTCTCACTCATAAATGGAAGTTGAACAAGGAGAATACATGGACACAGGGAGAACATCACACACTGGGGCCTGTAGAGGGTAAATGGAGTTGAACAATGAGAACCCATGGACACAGGGAGGGGAACATCACACACCAGGGCCTGTCAGGGGTTGGGGGAGCTAGGGGAGGGATAGCATTAGGAAAAATACCTAATGTAGATGACGGTTTGATGGGTGCAGCAAACCACCGTAGCACGTGTATATCTATGTAACAAACCTGCCGGTTAAACACATGTATCACAGAACTTAAAGTATAATTTAAAAAAAAAAAGAAAAAAATAAGCAAAAAATATATAAAACCAGAAGTTAGTTTTTTTTGAGAAAATAAATAAATTTCAAAAAAGTTTTGTCACACTGATCAGGATAAAGTAGATAAAAGTTAACAATATTAAAGATAGCTTTCATCACTACAGATATCAAAGGATAATGTGAAAATATTTTGAACAACTTTATGTTAATACATTTGACAACTTAGATGAGATTTACAAATTCCCTGAGAGATAAAAAATTAAAAACAAAACTTAGCTCATTAAATAATTAGATAACCAGAATAATTCTGTAACTACTAGAGAAATAAAATATGTAGATACAACTCATATAAAAAGCAAAATTACAGCCCCAAATATTGTCATTTTTAAATCCTACCAAACATTAAGGAAACATTCTAATTCTGTGCAAACTCTTTCAGAAAATTAAAGAGCATATTATATATCCTACTGTATTCTATGAAGCAGTACTTCCATTTTACCAAATTTAGACAAAAACATTACAGAAAAACAAAACTATAGAAGGTATCTCTTATAAGCGTCATGCAAAAGTGACTAAGTGGCTAATTTATTTTACAAAATAAATAGCCTTGGTGACCTTGAAGGGGCATCATGCCTCTTGCAAGGTGCCCAGCATTTACTGAATTCCTAATAAGCAAATATGCTAGATGAATGAAGAAAAGATAACATGGATTATTAAAAAGATTTGGTCTCATTCAGACTCAAAAATGTTCAATTGTCCAGCAATAACATGTTTCATCATCTAAGTTGATATGATGTCATTGTTTACAGTTTTCCAGTAATGTGTGATTGCACTGAAACAAGTTACAATCAATTACTTCTAAAATGAATGTAGGATTTCTAGCATAAAAATATGGTGCAACAGACACTAAGGAGAAATCAAGACACAACCAACATTGATGATTTTTTTGAAACATGACAAATACTATAAAAAAACAGACACTTGTTGAGCATTTGTAGCTACTGGTATGACCAACCCCTTGTCCTTTAAAAAATAGATGAATACTTTTATTTCCATTTCAGTACTGCAGAAAACATAAAAATAATTTACACTCTTTTCTAATAAACCCTCATACAAAAGACACCAACAAGCACTCATATACCATTTCAATAAAACACAAATCTACATTGCTTTGGATATGAACACGCTAGTGCATATACATTGGTCATTGGACGGCTAGATTAATTTTTCATTTTATTTCAAGAGTTTTACTTTAAGCAATATGAACATTTTAATTAAGCATTTTATGTATCATGGTAAAAATCCTGCCAGAGGTAAATAATCTCCAATAATAACAAGAAGGTGTGTTTCAAAATGATGTTAAACAATATAACAAGTACATAATTTGATACTGATAATGTATTTTTTTAAAACAGATGTTTAGTGAATTATACTGTAATAAACCTAAAACTAACCCTAATTTTCAATCTAATATAAGCTCTAGGCATTAACTACACATTGGATTTTATGGACTGTTTCTTAATTACAAAGGTTAACATGTTCTTAATCTCACCAACAAATTAAATCATCATTAAAATATATTTAGTGCAACAAATTGCTTTATGAATTAACATATTTGGATAGTCCTAAAATGAAAATTAAATGGTTATATATTTAGTATTGTGATTATTAATATGCTATATGTAAAGGACAACATGAAAAGAATTTAACCATTTTCCCTAACTAATTAAATGTTAAGCAAAGTAGAATTTTAGATAATTTATTAGCCATATATTTAACAGATTATTGTATTGTCTATCTCTTCAGCTGTCTATATGTTCCTCCACACATCCACCTATCATTATTCATCCCATGCATTAATCTATATATGCCCCAACTATATTTAAATTCCCCTTTGAACAATATATGAGATTCATTTATATTTCTGACATATTTAAAACCTTTAAAATGGTGAAAACTATTCAAAATTTGGAAAGATATGCTATACAAATTAATACTTTTACCTTTCTTATTCACTTAAATGTCATATCTTTAGTAATACTCTGTTATGAGAATATAATTGACATAATATTCTTCAAAAATTTTGATATGTGTTAGGCCCAACAATTTTCAAAAGAAAATATTTCATATTTTCTAGGAAAACATTTTTTTCTAATTTATTTATTTAGTTCCTTATTAATTTGAACTTGTATTTAACCAAGAGGGACAATGAGACAAGGACTACGGCAACAATAAAGGTATTAAAATCATTGACTCTGGCATTAAACTGCCTGGTTCTTAAAATCAGCTTTGCTAATAAACAATGGGCAAATTACTTAAGTACTTGGTGCCTCAGTTTTATCCTCCCCAAAAACAAATTATAATACTATCTACCTTGTACCCAGAGCATTTCAAAGACAGCCAAGCTAAGAATTTGTTCTCTGGAAGTGTTTGGTATTATTACTGTGCTTGATTATACATTGTGCAACCATTTTTTCACACAGTTTGTAAATAGTGAGATTATTGGTATTATTACTGTGCTTGATTATACATTGTGCAACCATTTTTTCACACAGTTTGTAAATAGTGAGATTATTATATTTCTAAAAACATAATAAATGTTTTCAAAGTACTTACTTTATTAAATTGTTCCTGGCATCTGGATCGTATGCTGTAACCTGTCCAATGATACTGCCCTCCTTTACATCTTCATCTACTTCTATCAAGTAAGAGACTTTAGTGAACACAGGAGGCTCATCTATATCTTCCACAGATATTTTGACCACAGCTGTATCTTTGAAAGGTCCCAGGTGTAAGAATCGTGGATCAGGGTGAGTGTTACTTGCATCCACTCTTAAAGTATAGAGCATTTGATTTTCAAAATCTAAATTCTGGAGTTAAATAACATAAAAGAAATTAGCATAATTCAGAAGATATGACAATGAAAGACGATTTCAAATTTTAATAGCCAGCGATCATGATTATACCAACAATTCTATTTAAATGACAATGATTGCTTCATAGGTATATGAAATAAATTTATAAATATATGTTTTGCCATACACTTATTCACAGAGGGTTAACTTAATATAATGGCATACACATTGAGATTGATTCTCACTTAGTAATATGCTTCATTTTTTTGGTGACAAGTAAATGAAGTATTATCTAATGGATTTATACATTATGTATTATCATTATTAAAGTTATGCAGTTATAATCAGAAGAAAAATATAAAATAGAAGTATAGAATAAAAATTATTTCTACTTCAATTATTTGAGCACTTGTGGAAAGTAAGATATGAATAAAAAGTGAAATAAGGACAATATGAAATGATAATATTGAGCTCTATTATTAGATGTAAAGATTAAGAATGTTCTCCCACATTGCATTGAAAATCGAGGCAACCAATGGAAAACACAAAGCATCTTCAGGTTTTATTTATTTAAATATATCATCACACTTACAATGAAAATATTTTGAAAAGTGCATGAAATAATGATGGCTGTGTGTTTATATTTTCCTCTATGGAGAAATACAAAACAAGTACCTTGAAGTTTATCTAATTTTAATTTGACTGTTTTCTAGTTTTAGCATGAACAACTGAGGTTTTAAGTGTCAATTATGAAGACATTTAACTTGCTTGAAGTGATATCACAACTATTCTCATTTATCTGAAGGATAGACAGCATGTAAAAGATGGGGGAAAATAAATCCCAGGCTTTTTTTCCCTTTACTGAAAAGCAAACGTAAATTATAAAGCACTCAATGAAAAGATGAAGACAGTGAAAAGAAACCTGTTTGACAGTTATAATCCCTTCCTGTGTATCCTTGTCAGTGATGACATCGAACATGTCTGCACCATCTCCTTCAGCAATGCTATACTCCATTTCTGCATTTTCCCCCACGTCAGGGTCATTGGCTTTTATCCTTCCAAGATGAGTTCCAAGAGGTACAGACTCAGGAGAATTAAATTGATACGTACCTATAAATTAAGTAAGAGCTGTTTTGACATTTCATCTTTATATAACATTTTTTCATTTCCTCTGCATTTTTAACTTAAATACATTAATTTTAAATAGGGAGAGTTTTTATCATATTGAATTGTAAGCTGTCAAAATTGTATATTTATTAATTTGGAAAAATAATTTATAAAACAGAACACTCTCATTTAGTAAATGAGAAGTGTAAGTCCCAGAAAAAAAAATTAGAGAATGTCCCAAATTTATTTAGACTATAGATGGTAGGCCTGATATAAGAATCCAGAACTTTTGGCTTAAAAGAACATGAAAAACAAATATTTACTGCTCATCTGGGGCTTTCAAAATGGTCATCACACTTTTTTTTTTAACATGTATTCAATTATTTTTTTTAAAATGCATTTATTATTTTATTCTAAATCAGGAATAAAAAATAATGCCATACAGACCAATGTTTCTTTTTTTTGCTGTTTGTTTTAGTTTTAATATCTTTTAGTGGGGCATGGATGTTTGTATTTTTTGTAGGTTCAGGCAAGTGTTATATTGTATTCTGGTAACCCTAAAAAGCATTTTAGTTTGTGGCTACCTATTCAAGAGACAATAGAAAAAAGAAAACTTTAATGTTAATGAAGGTCAGAAATATTTTTAAACATTTACAATGTGCTGCAGTCTATACAAGGTCTAAAGGCTTATATGCTAATTTATTTAATCCTCACACTAGTCCTCAAAGGACCAATTTAGCTATATCATCTTCAGGGGCAGGTCTTAAGGAAATTATCCTGCAGACTTGGGAAAGGGAGGATGCAAAAACTAATTCTTTCTGACTTCAAAGTCTATATTCTTTCCAATTTATTTGGTGGTTAAGAATATGAGTAAATAAATTCAACTGCCTGGGTTTGAATTCTGACCACCTGGCCAGTTAGTTAAATTCGCTAAACTTTGATGTCTGCGTCTAAGAAATAAGGATGATAATGATAGTAATTCACTCATAGGTTTGTTTTATGGGTTACAAAAATTTAGTTCTGGGTCTAGTCCTTAATATTTTATTATTACTCTTATAGTTCCAAAGTTTTGTTAGCATTATTATAGATAACAGAATTACAGAATGTCAAGGCATTAAAAATGCATCGAGTCTCTTTATAAAGGAATATGAATGCAAAGATTAAGTTTATGTTATTTAGGCTTATTATTTATGTTCTCAGCAAACTTTATTGTTTTACATATAACATATGAATATGTCCACCAATCAAAGATCAATACAACATTTTAAATATAATTGGCCTGGAAAAATGTTTTACTGTATTGAGATTAGCGATATGAATTTAAGTTTCAGCATTTAATTGAATATTTTGAAATAGGGGTCCTTATATATTTATTCACTGCAAAATAACAAATTTCAGCAGAGAATGGAAATCTTTTTCTGCAGGACATCATGAAATGCAAAGCATCCATGGTTTAATGTCTATCCTAAAATGGTGACAACTGAAAGAGTGTTAACTGATGTAATCTTCATAACTTAGTACCAGAGATACTACCAAACTTGAATACGTCTAAAATGCCCTCACAAACATAGTAAACCATAACTCTATGGGCCACTAGGAAAATATAAAAATGATGCTAAATAAGCCCATCTGCACTGATATCTTTAAACTATCAAGAAGTCTGTGTTTCAGAATCAGTTAGATAAGAGATTATAAGTCTGCGTGTAAAACAAGGTAGCTGAGGTAAGACAAGTGAGAGACACAGGATTTGAATCCAGATAGGCAGACATGAGAGCCCACCCTCCTAACCAAGAAGTGGATCCAAAGGAAAATGTTGAGACAATCTCAGTGAATGATGAGAAAGGAAGTCTGGAAAACTTTATAATCCTTCAAAGTTAGAGAAGTTAATTTAAAAGTTGCCAGAGAAGCTTAATACTTTGTTTTCTTCCACTACATACTCCAAAAAATGATGAAAATAATCACCATCACTCTCTATTTGTGGGAAATTGTGTTTTTTTTTTGGTAGAGGAATGGATTATGGTTTTTTCTTTATGCATAAACCAATAGCAAAACTACTAGTATGAAATGTGAATATTAAACTCGGCTACTAGTGTATTTGAGAAGTTTTTGGACATGAGATCACTGAAACATTTCTTACTCTGGGGAAATCGAGGAGGGTTGTTGTTGACATCTGTCAGCGTGATGTTCACTGTGGTGGTTCCAGAAAGGCCTCCCATCTGGCCACCCATGTCTTTGGCCTGTATAACAACCTGGTACTGCTCTCTATTTTCTCTGCTCATGTCTGGTAATGCAGTTTTTATTATGCCTTTTGGAAAAAGCAGACAAAAGTTTTGCAATTAAATCGCTGAGTTTTAAAATTAAGCTAGACAAGACTCATTTTACAAAAGTTGATTATAACAAACATAAAATGTCAGTGTATTTAAATATGTCCTTCAATCCATAACCACTTTAAGATAATTCACAGAACAGGAAGGATTTTCCCACGGGCTATAGTTCATGAAATGGGTTTTGCTAAATCAATGTATTTAATTTTTTTGATTACAAAAATTAACTTCAGTCAAAAATCTTTAGACATATACAGTTGTTTAATTTTGATAATTGTCATATTCAAGTTTTGAGTATTCTCTATGCCACATAATGTGCTGAATCTCTGTGAAATTTTGTATTTAGTGTTTCAAATTTAAACCCAATGAATAATAGTTTAAAGAGCTAAGGGTTCAAATAAGTTATTAAAATAATAGAAAGTTTGCATTTGTTTACATCCAATAATGACAGGAAACAAATAGAAACATGAAACTGAAAGAATAATGGTTTTAAAATATTTTAAAAATCTCTAAATTAATTATGCATCTTAATGTATTATACAATAAGAAGTCAGCCAAGTTTAAATGTTGTACCTGATTCTGGGTCCACTGAAAAATATGGCTGTCCTTGCAATATGCTATAGACCACTTTGGCACTATTTCCATAGTTGGCGTCATCTGCATCTGTTGCAGTTACTTGTATAACAGATGTACCTACATGAAACCCCCATCCCCAAACAGAGACATTTACATACTTCCAAATCTGAAACAATCTTTCTTAAAAATATGTTGCTCTCAGTGTTTTGTATTAGACGATGTTGTATGTTTGAAGAAATTTATTTAAATACTTCCTCAAAAAAGTTACTTTCCTTTCTCATTTTCTATAAACTGAAGTGTTTCTTAATTTTTTTGTTTATCTAAGAAAAAGTATCAAAATATATTATCAGTAAGGTGAATATAATAAGACTAATTAATGCATCACATTTTTAATTGATTGGAAGTGTTTTAGGGCAAACATTCTTAAAATGAATATAACACACATGAAATTTGTAATTAATACATTTACCACTAACTGGAAACATGTATTTAAAAGATAAATCTAACATTTTTTAACCTGCTGCTGCTTTTTATTCTGGTATATTTGACTGTAAATGGTAAATAAAATAAAAAAATAAAGAGAAAATTTCTATGAAGAAATAAACCAAAATGCTGTAAAATTGACCTGCAAGATATTTTTTGTTCCCAAGATATACCTAATTATGAAGGGCCTATGCCTCTCTTTTAAATATAGATAATATGGTTCTTATGATTACCTCTATTGATATGCTGCATAATACTGGTTATTTGCTGCACATTTGTAAATCATTATTCTCCAAAAGAAGATCTAAAGTGTGTAATTCTGTGTCACATGCAATACTGCAATTTAACCTTACTATCTAATTTTATATCATTAAATTTAAATTATGTTAAATTTTGTTTCAAATCTTTCAAAACATAAAAGTGCTTTAAAAGCAGGGATCAGCATAATAAAATATATTGATGAATTTTTAAAATTATCTTTTCCTGAATTTCTATAAAGATTCAAAGCATGGTTCTGACATCACCCTTAAATGAAGCCTACTAGGTTTGCCCTTGGACAAAGCTAGATTGTAGGACATTTTTCAGTATATTTTACATAATTTCTAAAAGTTTGAGTCTCACTCTTACATACATTTTAAAGATTTTGAAAATAGGAGGAATTCCATATTGGCCCTACCACCTAATTTAATAGCCCACATGCATTACACACTCAATAACTTGTCTAATTGAATTATGGTGGATGTTTCTCAAATGTTGCGTGTATATGTGTATGCCAATTCCAAAAATTAATATATAGTAATTAAGATCAATATTAACAGCTCATTTCCTGTCAATATGTTTGAATGTTAACACATCAATTGAGCAAGGCTTTTTAATGTTTTCTCAAAATTAATTAGCATAACAATGACAACTTGAGCTCATTCTCTTGAGGCCTCTGTTTTCTCAACTGTGATGGAATTGATGTGTCCTGTGAGTGAATGGAAACATTGCATATTTACTTAATCCATTCCAGCTGTAAGCTTTTATCATTAAAAAATTATCCACCCATGTGTTCATTAGATGAAAGCAAAAATGATAAAGTGATTTACATTCCCCCCACACAAATCACTTTATGATGTGCAGAAGTTCAACAAGTGTTTTTTTTTAATTTACATGTAATGTCCTTTTTATATAACCCTATGTGATATATATTAGAATAAGTGTGGTTTTCACAATTGGAGGTTATTGAAATATGAATTATTAAGCATTACCAATATGCTGAAAATACAAGTAGTTCGTTCATCAATTTTAGGACATTTCTTGAGTTACCCATTTTATTTTTCTTTTAACATGAACATTATTGTAAGCTTTCATAATGGGTACAGGTAAAAACAATCTTTTATGTTTATTTGACTCTTTCAAATAATATTTTTGTGGAATTTTAATTTCGATTATTAGCTCTATTAGTCGGTAGATGATCTTTGAAGTTACGCAAGGACGCTTAACAAAGAGAAAGAAGTTAATATAAACAACAGAAATAAACTCTATGATGTGGCCAAAAAGCTAAAAGCACACATAAAATACTTGTTCCACCTCTCAGAGCTCTGGTAATAATTAAGAATGCTTTTAAACACTGGTAGTCACTGACAAAATATCATTGATATGTTATTTTTTAGCAAACTGAGAGACAGTGTGTTAGATTATAGGGAATAAAGAGTTGTAGTTTTTTTCAGAGGTGTAATTAAAAGTTAAAAGCATTTAGTAATAAAATTAAATAGAAAATGGTTTATATGTTTTATATTAATTTTTGTTTTTTTTGAGATGCAGTCTCACTCTGTAGCCCAGGCTGGAGTGCAGTGGCGCAATCTCGGCTCACTACAACCTCCGCCTCCCGGGTTCACGCCATTCTCCTGCCTCAGCCTCCCGAGTAGCTGGGACTACAGGTGCCCGCCACCAAGCCTGGCTAATCTTTTTTGTATTTTTAGTAGAGACGGGGTTTCCCATGTTAGCCAGGATGGTCTCGATCTCCTGACCTCATGATCGCCCGCCTTGGCCTCCCAAAGTGTTGGGATTACAGGCGTGAGCCACCGTGCCCAGCCATTTTATACTAATTTTATAAATGTTTCTTTATAGAGACAAAATAAAAGAGAATACACATGGATATTTACATCCCACTAAATTTTCCAAAATATGTATAATTTTTATTTGTTCTTTAGTTATTTAAAATAAATATTTTATTTTCATATTAAAGATAAAAATATAGTAAGTAAAATATAGTGAAACTTGAATGACAAATTTATATATTGCATCTCATATCAAAGAGGTAAACACGATTTTGAGACCATTTTTTTTCTTTTTTTTTTTTATTATACTTTAAGTTTTAGGGTACATGTGCACATTGTGCAGGTTAGTTACATATGTATACATGTGCCATGCTGGTGCGCTGCACCCACTAACTCGTCATCTAGTATTCGCGAGACCATTATTTTTGCAATTCACATTTTTATGAGTTTTGCATATAATATCTTACTTTAAATAGAAAATATGTTAAGGAATCAAAGAAGTTTACTGTAATTCTTAACTCATTATTTACTTAACTGTATAACTAATAATCTTTAGGAAAATTTCAAAGACTCAAAGGCTAATTCTATAATAGTAAATCATGAAGAAATGTTAAAAGCTGATAAATAATTCGGTGGCTAAAGATTTTGGGGAACCAAAAGCATTCCTCTGGATATGGGAGAAAAATTCATCAATATAATTATTATTATAATTTAAAGATAAGAAAAGTTTAGATTACACAATGTAACCAAGTTATGCCAGTTGGTCTTACATATATATTTACACATCATATTAGAGG
The DNA here is from genome assembly GCF_000001405.40 of Homo sapiens. NCBI lineage: Eukaryota > Metazoa > Chordata > Mammalia > Primates > Hominidae > Homo > Homo sapiens. The sequence goes on from NC_000005.10 coordinate 26,910,044, forward strand.
AAGTTAAATCAATTCATTTTATTACACTATACAAAATAAACTTCATATATAAAAGAAAAAACATCCCTCTATATATTTGTGCCTTATATGCAAATATGAAAATGTTTTGAATCTAGTGTTTGAAATATTTAAAATCGCAAATGTAAATGACCCCAAAACCTAGGCCTCGTATCTATCATCCATCTATCTATCTATCTATCTATCTATCTATCTATCTATCTGGCATTAATTATCTCTCTATATAAACTTACAATAAAATATTTGTATACAAAGATTACTTAGTCAGTATAAATGTTACTAATTTAAACGGTTTTCTACACACAGATAGTATAGAGAAGGGGAAATACTGCCTTTATTCTTCTTTAACAAACAGCAACTTTGTGGCATGGTAATGTCAGAAAATATGTATCACAGCCTATTATGTTGTATAACATGTAAAAGCTTTCTCTCTCTCACACACATTCTCTTTATCTGTATCTATGTATATCTATCTATCATCTGTCTTTCCATATGTCTGGAGTGGTTGATAGAATGGTAAAACCAACTAAAGTTTAAAGAAACAGAATCACTCTATGAACTAGAGGAAACAAAGAAAAGAGGTGAATAGTATGGGCTTTTTCCTGCCCTGTAGCCTAAGGCCTGTCTTTTGAGCACTGTAGAAAAGAGACTGGAATATTTTGACTTGCTTCAGTGTGAGAATAAGTTAACGAAAGTTACAGAAAGTGAAAAACGAGTTTAGTCTTCACACCTCTATATGAATCTGGTTTTGACAGAGTCAACTGTTTTCTTCTGCCATAGGGCGATGACAGCCACTAATTTGAGGAGCAGGGGTAAACAGTGCCCTTGACATAAATGTTTGTGCTGTGGGGGCCACTAATAAGAGAAGTAGGGGTGATGTTTTCAGACAGTGTCATGGAATTATAAGGGGTCCATTAATTCGATGTCCAGGAATTTAAATCATGCTTTGTTAGATATAAGTTTATTTTACTGTGAAATGCAAACTCTTTAAGGGCAGAGTCCATATCTAGTTTGTTCAACACTTTATACTTAAAACCCAGCAGAGAATCTAGTGCAAAATCCTAAGAACTAACTTTCACAGAATGCTTAATGTAGACTAGACATAGTTCTCAGCACCTGACTAGTTTTTATTACTTAATCCTCATGATACATGTGGGATGTGGGCCTTGGCGTACATAGAAGTTGCTAATGACCACAAACCCGGTATGTGATAGAGCTGGACTAGGTCAAAGTCCATTATAAATATATTTGGTCAAGAATTTTCTTTATAAATACTTTACCAAACGGCCTATCTCTCTGGTGTTAGAAATACAATTGGATACATTATTGAATCCACACATAGTGAACCTCTGGGACATGAAGAATTCATTGACCGAGTTATTTTTGTTGTCTGTAAAAAATTACAAAGGGATTCCTGGTTGGGGGTCAAAGTGTTAGGAAGAGGACTGGATAGGTTTTTGAGAGTGAAGGTGGGGGAAATTTCCAGTCACTGAGAAAGGAAGCATCCCCAATCACCAAATTTACAAAACAAAAATTTGCCTAGGTGAAGACGAAAGCATGCACATGAAGCAAGTTGATAGAAAATATTTTATCAATAGTGTAATGATCACAAGAAAAAAAAAAGTAGAAATAGAAATGGAAAATACAAAACATTGTAATCAAAGTGTATCCCATTATCTTTAAATATATATCTTTGTATATCTTCCAGATTATATGTTCTGATTAGAATATGCTAGTGTATTTCAGATTTCATGAGTTTATTGGAGTCATTTTATTTTAACCGAAAATGGGTTGGGCATTTGGCACTAAAAATCCAATGTGAAATATGGCATATGATTGTGACAGACAGAAACTGAAGCAGAGGGAAACAAGAAGGGAAGGAGTTGGTAAGAGAGAAGAAGAAGAAACAAATACTTTAAGAAATAAAAATGAATGGAAATAAGGGGCAGATAAATAGAGATCAACAGAAAATAACATTGTAAAGAAGAGTAGGGCAATAATAGAGAAATCTTATCTTATTCCATAAGACTCTATTTCTTCACAAAGCTAATACTTGCAGTTTTTAACTCTTTGATTTAAATGAAAATATCTTGTACTATCTGAAAATAATTTTAGAATTAAATCATTGTGTATTATTTATAGATGTATTCTTAATTCTTTGATTATGCATCAGATTTAACTGTTAATATATGGGATACACAAGGCATGACAGAGTTCCTAAATATTACTTGTTAGTTTTCCTATGTAAATTGGTTTATTTGGATACATAGGAGTAAAGAAAATCACACCTGCAATAATTATAATGTTAGTCTTTTATTTTCCTTTAAATAAGGTAGGAGAGTTACAATAAAAGATCAATACAAGTTTATGAGGTAAAATATATCTACTTTTTATTTAGACACATTTATATGGTTATATATAGTGATATATGTGATTATATATAGTTTTATATATATACAGATATATATAGATATGTATGTATTAAAATGCAGGGGTTTTATCCCCTTATATTCTTATTTAGATTTAATTTAAATGAGAAGGACATTTGATTTAAAGTAATAAATAAGAAAGATACTAATTTACAGGAGTTACTCACGATTGAATAAATTAAAAGATTTCCAGACTAGATTTTGAATAATAAATAATAAACATAACTACTTAACAGAGAAAAATAGTAAGGCATAAAATTGTCCAGCTATCTCTGTGATATGGTTTGGCTATGTTCCCACCCAAATCTTATCTTGAATTGTGACTCCCACAATTCCCATGTGTCACGGGAGGCCCTGATGGGAAGGTGATTGAATTATGGGGGAGGGTCTTTTCTGCATCTTTCTCCTGAGAGTGAATAAGTCCCAAGACATCTGATGGTTTTAAAAACAGGAGTTTCCCTGCACAAGCTCTCTTTCTTTGCCTGCTGCCATCCGTGTAAGACATGATTTGCAACTCCTTGCCTTCTGCCATGATGATTGTGAGGCCTCCTCAGCCATGTGGAACTGTAATTCCATTAAATCTCCTTTTCTTCCCAGTCTCGGATATGACTTTATCAACAGCATAAAACAGACTAATACACTCTGCATCTATTAACTTTTGTTTTTCTTTTTAAAATTAGGCTAGTAGTAACTTGGCCAAGTCAGTTTAATTCTTCTGGGCTCATGTTTTTGTATTTATTAAAATAGGCAATTAAACCAAATATAGTATCTTCTGCATATGCATATTGTATATAATATATTATACATTTATATTTAGGTAATGGAAGCACATACAAAGTTATAGGTGAACCAAAGTGGAAGCAAGTAATATAATGTTAGTATTAGTAATGAAGAATAACAATTGTCCTCTACAAATAGGATTAAAATTTATCTGTATTCTTAAATCTTTATTTTTTAGTTCCAAAAGCTGCAGCCAGAGCCATACATCTGCCTGCTACTATATCCTTGTCTCATTTTGTGGGAATTCTAGCCAGGTAGTGAATGCAACTGACAATGGCTCAAATCCTTGTATCTGCAACCTACACTGATCCGAAGTTGTACTGCTTACACTTTAAAGCTTATGTAAATGAAATATAGATTGCCTTACAGAAAGATAGTTTGTACAATATAAACTACAAAACATCTTTCATGCATAAACTTATATATTGTATATTTTATTATGAGTGATGGAACCAGTGAAGGATTCTAAAATATATACATATATGTTTGTGTGTGTGTGTGTGTGTGTGTGTGTGTGTGTGTGCATATTTCAGTTCTGATATTGTTACTCAACAAATATTAATAGAACCTAGTTGTATTAGTATTTCACATGAGACAAAATACATTTGAATTATGTATACAGGTGACAAATAGTAATACACAGAGTAAAATATAATAGTCCATTAAGTATCAGAAAACAATGTAGGAGAAAATACAGGTTATGTGCGATTAAATATCAATAGTCTCTGATAGGGAAATACTTGTTTTTTCAAAAAAGTGGGGTACTTCTTTGAAATACTTTGTGTATTCACATTTAAAATAATTATTCTTAAAGTTTCTCATATTCAAATATTTCCATTATCTTAATTATACTTTTTACTTTTCTAGGTATGTCAAATCTTTCTGGGGAAGGATAAGTGAAAGTTTTATATTGTAAGGTTTCAACATATCTGGTAAAATAATATGTACACAAGAGAAACAATAATATTTTACAAAAGGTACTAACAAAAACAGAATTACTTTAAAATAATCATCAATAGGAAATTGATGAGTGTAATTTTATATGTACCTTAATCTCACATATAAACCCATTAAAAAAAACATGGTATGTGTTTAAATTAGCGCACTGGTCGACCTATACAAACCAATCTAGTACTTTCCATGCAACTAAGATACTAAAAAATATAACAGGGAACATATCCACTCATTTTTTGTATTAGAGCTTTATGATTTCACAGGACTCCTGTCTAATTTGATAAATTCCTTTTGTTTTATTAGAGTGAATACCTGAAAGTGCTATTTCAGTTCTATTTAACTGTGTTTTCCTCAATTAGATGACATTTCATTTGAGGTGAGAATAAATACGTTTTTAAAAATTCTTGGTTCTTCCTGCTAAATATCTCACATAGTTAACATTTTACATTAAACATTCAGTAAAGGTGGATAAGTTTGTTTCTCCTTCTATAGAAATTATTTTAGACTGAAACATATATTAGTTATAAGAATGTCAAAATCATACACTGAAAACTGGTTTTGAAATAGTATTCAACTAAATTGTATCAAATTTGGGAAATTGGCTGCAGATCTTGTAAATTAAGTTTATGTCAGTTATTTTAGAAATATTTTTATGATGTGAATCAGTTCTCATTGTCTCGTTAACAAACCTAAACCTTTTATATTAATAGAGTTAAATGTAGTCATACACATATAAAACTCCGCACAAGTGGTATCTAAAATGGTGGGCAGCCTTAAGAAGTGAAACAATTATTTTCAGTTTGCATAAGGCAATGTTCAGTGGTAGAATGTGCACAAAAATAACATAAAGAGACTTGCAATCTTGTCATGATGCTACCAGGTTATTTGATCTTAATTCAGTTGCTTAATCTTTCTGAATCTTGAGTTTCTAATTAACAGAATAGGGATTTAAAGTTCTATTTCTCATGCCTACCACATAAGTTGGCTTTAATGATCAAATGAAAAAACACTTCAGTAGAAATTTGCCAAATGCAAGCATTGTTATTCAAAATAATGCAAGCAAAATTGTCCAAAACTGCTGATACTATCTATTATTCTTTTGATTTCTGGCAAAAATACATTCCACTTGACTGCCATTTGAATGCCAGTTAGTAGAGTTGAGGGTATTGATTGAAATAAAATGAATTAACTGCTATTGATAATCATATTTTATATAAATTACAACATAACAGGAGAATTAAGATATATAGAAATAAAAATAGAAGAGCTAGTTTAAGCTAAATAGTAGTTAACAGTTATAACTCTTATTCTGAAAGAGGCCACATATCATAACCACAAGTCAATAATAATTACCTGAGCAAACAAACAAATAAAAAGTAGTTTACATGGATTAGAATATACCTACCGACTCCAGACATTTCAGGAACACTGGCAGTGTATAAGTCTTTTGTAAATTTTGGCTCATTGTCATTGATATCATGTATTTTAATGATAAATTCCGATTCCGGTTCCACCTGCCGCCCAGTTTTTCTGTCTATAGCCTTGGCACGAAGAATGTACAGAGATTTTTCTTCTCTGTCTAGTTTCTTTGCAGCATGAATGTCTCCTGTATTTTCATCTATAACAAATAGACTGCCAGCCCCATCTCCTGTTAGTATGTATTTTAAATTTCCATCTCCTTTATCTTGGTCAGTGTGAAGCTTTAGAGAGGTAGAAAAGAAGAGTTCTGTAAATATATACATTATCATTACATAAAACATAATTTTGGCGCTATCAATTCGTCTCCATATAACAGCTCTGCAATAATTATCTTAATGGTTATCTTGACTTTTGCTGTGAGAGGGAGTTAAATATTTCAGTTCTTATTACACTCAAAATTTTTAACAGTCATATTTAGACATCATAATGGACTAGATTTAAAATAATGTGAAAATTAATATGTATCTGTCAAAACAAAGATATTTATGAATAAAATGTTACCAAGATTTAAACCTCCAGTGCATTACAAAAAAATCCATTAACCTACATCTTGAGTGTAAAAGATTAATTAATGTTGATTACATTTAAAATGACTAAGCTCTAAGATATGATTTGAGAGATTTCTGAAGGTATTATAATGACAAGTTCAGAATAGCTACCTTAATTTTTAACTGATTTTATTCTCCTTCAGTACAGAGTATCCCCTTATCTGTGGGGGATACATTTTATAAGTGGATCCCTGAAACTGTGGAGTGTACCGAAACCTGTATATATTGTGTTTTTTCCTATATGTACCTTCCTATGACAAAGTTTAATTAATAAATTAGGCACAATAAGTGATAAGCAACAATAACTAATGATAAAATTGAGCAATTATAACCATATACCGTAACAAAAGTTATTTGAATGGTCTCTCTTTCTCTCTCTCTCAAAATATCTTGTTGTTATTTACTGTGGGTAATTAAAACCTCAGAAAGTGAAACCATGATTAAGGGGGAACTACTGTAGAACATTGATTGTAGATTCACGGGCTCTGTATTCAGAGAGACTAATCAGAGAGAGAAAGAGATTTGTAATTACTTATTTTCTATACGACTCTGAGAGAATAGTTCTTCAACCACGATGTTCTCATTTTTAGAAAATGTTTTATTTTTTATACCTTTTAGATTTCAAGTAATATAAAACTCACAGCCTGTCCTCTGGCCATATGAACTATGTCTTAGGAAAAAATAGGATTATGTTTTCATAAATTATCTTCTTTTCATTGATAAATGTCCATCTGTAAAAATAACTTCTTAATGTAGGAGGCTGATCATTGAATATTTACAACAAACAGACCATGTAATCCTAGGAATTACGAATTGAAAAACAACCTTAAAGATTTTACAATCCTAACACGATTCTGAAAATAATTTTTTAAAATTAATTGAAAACAGTAATTGTTTTATCATAAAATTATGACTACAGTATATTTTGATATATGCTTACATTATAAAATTATTAAATCAAACTAATTAACAAATTCATCACCTCACATACTTATCTTTTTTTTTGTGGTGAGAACATTTACAAGGATGTGGATGCAGATGGGAGATATTGATCAAGGAATGCAAAATTTTATTTATTCAGGAGTAATAATCTTCAGTGGTCTTTTGCCCTGCATGGTGACTATAATAAATAATAAACTATATATTTGAAATTATCAAGAAAGTAAATTTTAGATAAAAATGGAGTTTTAACTAGCTTACCCCTGTTATGTTGACTTACATCATATACTTTACAATTCCCATTTACATCCTGCCCTCACCTATTTCTTCAGCATTCCATTTTATCTTTGAATTATTTGACTATTTAAATTATGTTTTTAAATCATAGCCAAAATTAGAAATGTTTCACATTTTACACCTCCTTTGCAAGCTCAGCATCAAAATAATTGTCACATGTAGCCTTCCCATCTCTGAAATATCTTCTCAAGACATCTGTCTCCATCTCTATGGCTACATCATGTATTTTCCTTCATCTTATCTTCTCTGGACCACCAGAGCAATCTTCTAATCATGCTGCCTCCACTCTTGCTCTACTCCAAGCAATTTTTCATACTAAAGAGGGTGATTTTTCCACATCACAAATGTAGTCTTATTACAATCTAGATTAAACATCTTCAAGTCACAGCATTTAAGAACTGTAAACCTGAAGTCATAAAAACCAGAGTTAGCATCATGCACATTTTGGTGTTATATTGGCCTGTGGTTTGCTTGTTTGTTTTTAAATCTAAGTTTATTTTATTGAAAAAATATAACTTTTTAAAACTTTACTTTTATTATTAATGTAATTGCTTGAATTCTATAACCTTATTTATACATCCAGGATAATCTGGCCCTGAATTCCAGAGGCATCTCTGCCTCTTTTCCCTCTTGCTATACATTCTATACATAGCAATTGTTTTGTTTTGCCTTTATGTCTCAGAAGGCCTGTTCTAGCTTTCAAGCCTGATGTTTGCATCTGTTTCCCTCACCTTTTTACACCTTTACCTTCTTTTTTGTATTTTCCTCTAACTAAGTATTTGTCATATTTCATTTTACAATTTCCTCCTTAGGGAGGCCTTTCCTGACTCACTAGATTAGGATGGATGAGCCTGCTCTTGACTTACATAGCACACTTCATTCCCTATCATGATATTCATCACATTTGATGTAATTGTTTACCATGCCCACTAAACTGTAAAATACATAAGGGAAAGACTGATATTCTTCTATTAAGTCACTTAACATATATTTCTTGAAGACCATAAATATTTCCTCTTTTTAAAACTAACTTTTCACATAAAATCAGATCATAAATAAAACTTGCCTTTTTAACATAAGTTGAATGGATAGACTTGAATTTGAATGGCTAGACTTAGTAAAGTGGATTGCACACCTCAGTATGGGTGACTAGTCTTTAAACAATCCCTTAAAGTCCTGAGTACAAAATAAAAAGCTGAGTAAGAGAGAATTTACTCTCTTTGCCTATCTGCAAGCCAATGTATCAATCTTCTCCTGCCTTTGGACTCAGACTCGATGTGGAACTCAATACCATATATTCTCTAGCATCTCAGTATTTTGGACTCAGACTGAAACTATACCATGGTTCTCCTGGGTCTTCAGCTTGCCAACTGCAGCTCTTGGAACTTTCTGGCCTCCATAATCTTGAGATCCAATTCCTTATAATAAAATTACATATGTTTTATGTGTCTCTGGAGAATCCAGGCTAATAAAACATCTGAGTTTAACATCTTTTAAAAAATGGATTTGTGGAAGAGGAGGTGGAGGAAGGCAGCCAAGTTCAAGCCTACAGTGAAAATTCCTCCCACAGGAACATCAGATTGAACAACTATCCACAAAAAAGCTTTCATATGAATGAAAAATCAGGTGAGTGACCACAGTACCTGATTTTACCATCATATTAATAAAAGAGGCACTGAAAAAGGTAGAAAAGACAGTCTTGAATTGGCTGGACCACTCTTCTCTCATCCCCTTGCACCAGCCACATGGTGAGGAGTGAATCTATGTGCTGGAGCAGGTGAATGTAGTGATTGTGAAACTTTGCATTGGAACTCAATGCTGCCCTGTCACAGTGGAAAGCAACTTAGGGTAGAAGTCAGCTGGCACCCATGGAGAAAGCATTTAGACTAACCCTGGCCAGAGAGGAATTGCCCATCCCAGTGGTCAGAAGCCAAATGCCAGCAAGTCCTGCTACCATGGGCTAAAGGGTTCTGGGGCCTAAAATAAACTTGAAGGGCCGTCTAGGCCACAAAAATTGTAATTCTTGGACAAGTCCTGGTGCCTTGCTCGGCTCAGAGCCAGTGGACTTTCTGGGGATGTGACCTAGTGAGACACCAACTAGGGCAGCCAAATGTGTACTTGTGCCACCTCTCTCCCAACCACCAACAGCACAACTAGCACCTCTGGGAGGGATCTTTTCCTCTGCTTGAAAATAGGAGGTGGGAGGGGAAAGAGGATTTTGTCTTGCAACTTGGATACCAGCTCAGTCACAGTAGGATAGGGCAGGGTCCTGAGGCCCCCATTTCCAGACACACCCTGGGCCAGAAGGGAACCTACTATCCTTAAGGGAAGAATCCAATTCTGGCAGGACTCATCATCTGCTGACTAAAGGAGCCCCTGGACCCTGAATTATCAGCAGTGGTAGGCAAGCAACACTTGCTGTGGGCCTTGGGTAAGACTCAGAGCTGTACTGGCTTCAGGTGTGATCAAGCACATTCCCAGCTGTGGTGGTCGTGGGAAGAGAATCCTGCTTGAGGGAAGCAGAGGGACTTTATCTTGCAGCTGGTGGACCAGCTTGGCCACAGTGGGGTAGAGCACCAAAAGTAATCCTGGGGTACCAATTATGGGCCTTGGCTCTTGAACAGCATTTCTGAACCTGCCTGGGGACAGAAGGAAGCCCACTTCCCTGAAGGGAGAGACCCAGGCCTGGCAGCTGACAAAAGAGCCCTTGGGCCTTGAGTGAACATTGGCGGTAGCTAGGCAGTACTTGTCATGGGCCTGAGGTGGTATGGTTACAGGGAAAGACTCTTCTGCTTGAGGAAAGGGGAGGGAAGACTGAGGGATTTTTTCATGTGGTTTGGATGCCAGCTTAGCTTTAGTATAGTAGAGAACCCACACAGATTTATAAGGTTCCTGACTTCAGGTCTTGGATATTGGGTGGCATCTCTGGACCCACCTAGGACCAGGGGAAACTCACTGCCCTGAAAGGAAGAATATAAGCCTGGCTAGATTCACTGTGTGTTGATTTTAGAGCACTCCAAACTTGAGTGAACACAGACGGTAGCCAAGCAGTGGTTACTGTGGGCCTTGGGAGACACCCAGTGCAGTCCCAGTGGCGGGGGCCACAGGGGTGCTTGTGTCACCCCTACCCCAGCTGCAGGCAGCTCAGCGCAGGGAGACAGACTCTGTTTGCTTGAAGAAAAGTGGGAAAAGAAAGAAAGCAAGAGTCTTTGCCTGGTAATGCAGGTAATTCTCCCAGATCTCACTCAAGACCACCAAAGCAGTACCTCTATGAGTCTGCAAGAGCCACAGCATTAATTACTGAGCCTGGGATTCTCTTATGCAGATATGGCTTCAGTGACAAAGACACCAAAGATTACAACACCCATGTTCCTTCAAATACTTGAGACGCCTTCCCAAGAAGGACGAGTCAAACAAGCACAGACTGAAAAGACTACAATAAATATCAAACTCTTTAATGCTTTGTCACTGATGAACATCTTCAAGCATTCAGACTAGTGAGGAAAACATGACTTCGTCAAATGAACTAAATAGGGCACCAGGTACTAATTCTGGAAAGACAGAGCTATCTGACCTTTCAAACAGAGGATTCATGATACCGTTTTTGTTAGAGTAGGCAGATAGCTAGACATGAGCAGGAGGGACAGCACCTGAGAAAAGAGAAGTCTGGAAAATCTCACATCCCAGAGACCACCTAAAATATGCATACCAGATATGAGCAGAGAAGATGGGAAGTACCTATGCTGAAAGGAACACCCTTAAGATGCCCAGTAATTACTCACTCTGTAGTTAACCTGTCAGAATATAGCTTATAAGGAAGAGAAGAGGGCAAAGGAGAAATTCCTAAGAGATACCAAGGCACGATAAGTATAGATTTGACCACTACTCAACCTTCCTGGGGTGACAGGAATAAGCAATGCAGCCATTGGGTAGAATTTGTATCCAACACTGGACCCACACATGCACACCAAGTAATAGTCACTGAGAATCCCACCATCCTGGGACGGGAACTAGGTAAGGACTAAAGCACAAGTGGAAAAACTGGACAAACAAAAAGGTGGAAACTTAAGACAGAAACAGAAACTTCAAGAAAATATCTGGCATCAATAAAAACCAATGCAGAACTCTCGGGGCTGTTGCTGATTCATTCACTTTCGACAGCCTGCTCTGCCTCATCTTTGAGTGTACTGTCTCTCTAAATAAACTCTCTGCTCTCTACTTTTCTTCAGTAAATTCTCTATTTTTGCCTAAATGGTCTCTTTGCCGAATTCCTTCTTCCAAGTGAGTCTAAGAACCGAGGACTCCACACTTCCCGGTAACATATTGAGGAAACTCAAGAAAACACAGAGAAGGAATTCAGAATTCTATCAGATAAATTTAACAAAGAGATTAAAATAACTAAGAGGAATCAAGCAGAAATTCTGGAGCTGAAAAAATGCACACTGAAGAATGCATCAGAGTATGTTAAAAGCGGGATTGATTAAACAGAAGAAACAATTAGCTTGAAGACAGGCTATTTGAAAAAACACAAAATAGTCCAAAAAAAAAAAAAAGAGAGAGAGAGAAAGAGAGAATAAAAATGAATGAAGGATGTCTACAAGATCTAGAAAACTGCCTCAAAAGGGAAAATTAAGTTATTGGCCTTAAAGAGGAGAGAGAGATGAGAGTAGAAAGTTTATTCAAAGAAATAATAACAGAGAACTTCCAAAATTTAGAAAAAAATATTAATATTCAAGGACAAGAAGTTTATAGAACACAAAGCAGATTTAACCCAAATAAGAACAACAAGACATTTACTAATCAAACTTCCAAGGTCAAGGACACATAAAGAAAGCATCCTAAAAGCAGCAAGAGAAAATAAAAAAACAACATACAAAGGGGCTTAAATGCACCTGGCAACAGATATCTCAGTGGAAAACTTACAGGATAAGAGAGAGTGGCACAACATATTTAAAGTGCTAAAGGAAAAAAAATCACTTTTATTCTAAAATAGTATATCCAGTAGAAATATCCTTAAGAATTGGAGGAGAAATAAAGATTTACATAGACAAACAAAAGTCAGGGGACTTCATCAACACCAGACCTGACCTACAAGAAATGCTAAAGGGAGTTCCTTAATGTAAAGGAAAAAGATATTAATGAGCAATAAGAAATCATCTGAAGGTACAAAACTCACTAGCAATAGTAAGTACCCAGAAAGACACAGAATATTATAACATATTATAAGACTGTAATTACTGTGTATAAACTACTCATATCTTGACTAGAAAGATAAAAACAACCAATTAAAAATAACTACAACTTTTTAAGACATAGTATAATAAGATATAAACAGAAAAACAAAAAGTTAAAAAGCAAGCAGATGAAGTTAAAATGTAGAGTTTTTATTAGTTTTCTCTTTGCTTGCTTGTTTGTTTATGCAGTTAGTGTGGAGTGGATAATGAGGTTAAAAAAAGAAAGGAGTGAAGGAAGACAAACAACCAGAAAAAAAATGGAGGATTAAATTCCTACTTCTCAATAATAACAATAGATGTAAATGGTTTAAACCCTCCTATCTAAGACATAGTGTAGTTACATGAATTAAAAAAAAAAAAAAAAACACAAAAAAAAAACAAGACCCAACAATCTGGTTGAATGGATGAAAAAAAGAAAGACAAAGCAATCTATTGTATTCAGGAAACACTACATCTATGAAGACACACATTGACAGAAAATAAAGGGATGGAAAAACGTATTCTATGCCAGTAAAAACAACAACAACAACAAAAAGCAGGAGTAGCTATATTTAGACAAAATAGATACCAAGACGGAAATATAAAAAGAGACAAAGAAAATTATTACTATATTATAATAAAGGAGTCAATTCAGCAAGAAGATATAACAATTGTAAATTGAGCAACCTATATATAAAACCTTAGCACACCTATATATACAAAGCAAACATTATTAGAGCTAAAGGGAAAAACAGATCTTAATACAATAATAGCTAGAGACTTCAACACACCACTGTCAGCATTGGAAAGATCATCTAGACAAAAAAATCAACAAAGAAACATTGGAACTTAATCTGTACTGTAAACCAAATGGACACAGTCAATATTTACAGAAGATTTTATCTAATGGCTGCAGAACATACATTCTTATTGATAATTTTCAAGGATAGATCAGACGTTAGGCCACAAAACATATTTTGAAAATCTAAACAATTGAAATAATATCAAGCATGTTCTCTGACCACAATGGAATAAAACTAGAACTCAAACACATGAGGAATTTTAGAAACTATACAAACACATCGAAATTAATCAATATGCTCCACAATGATAAGTGGGTCAATGAATAAATTAAGAAGAAAATTAGAAAAGTTCTTGAAACTAATGAAACCTACGAAAACCTACAGAATACAGAAAAAGCAATAGGAAGAGGAAAGTTCATAGCAATAAGCACTTATATCAAAAAAGTAGAAACACTTCAAATAACCTAATAATACATCATAAGACACTGAAAAAGCAAGAGAAAACCAAGCCCAAAGTTAGTAAAACAAAAGAAATAATAAAGATCAGAACAGAAATAAATGAAATTGAAACAAGAAAAACAATACAGAAGATCAATGAAACAGAAACATGGTTTGTTGAAAAGAGAAACAAAATCAACAATCATTTATCCAGCCTAAATAAAAAAGAAGTAAATAAGTAAAATAAGTAAAATCGAAGATAAAAAATGACATATTACGACTGAGACCAGAGAAATTCAAAGGATCATTACAGGTTCTAAGAGCAATTATGTGCCAATAAATTGGAAAACCTAGAAGAAATGAATAAATTTCCAGACACATTCAACCCACCAAGATTGGACCATGAAGAAATCCAAAACCTAAACAGATGAATAATAATGAATGAGACTGCAGTTGTGCTAAAAAAGTGTTCCAACAAAGAAAAGCCCAAGATCAATGACTTCACTGCTGAATTTTACCAATCTAAAAATAATTCAAACCAACTATAGTCAAACTATTTAAAAAAATAGAGGAGGAAATATATATATATTATATATATAAAATAAGTATTTTATATATATGTAATACTTTCAGTTCTAGAGTACATGTGCACAACATGCAGGTTTGTTACATAGGTATATATGTGCCATGTTGGTTTGCTGCACCCATTAACTCGTGATTTACATTAGGTGTTTCTCTTAATGCTATCTATTCCTACCCCAGCCGCCCATCCTAAGACAGGCCCCGGTGTGTGATGTTCCCCACCCTGTGTCCAAATGTTCTCATTGTTCAGTTCCCACCTATAAGTGAGAACATGCAGTGCTTAGTCTTCTGTCCTTGTGATAGTTTGCCGAGAATGATGGTTTTCAGTTTCATTCATGTCCCTGCAAGGACATGAACTCAACATTTTTTATGGCTGCATAATATTCCATGGTGTATATGTGTCACCTTTTTTTAATCCAGTCTATCACTGATGGACATGTGGGTTGGTGCCAAGTCTTTCCTATCGTGAATAGTGCCACAATAAACATACGTGTGCATGTGTCTTTGTAGTAGCATGATTTATAATCCTTTGGGCATATATCCAGTAATGGCATCACTGGGTCAAATGGTATTTCCAGTTCTAGATCGTTGAGGAATTGCCACACTGTCTTCCACAATGGTTGAATTAATTTACACTCCCACCAGCATTGTAAAAGCGTTCCTATTTCTCCACATCCTCTCCAGCATCTCTTGTTTCCTGACTTTTTAATGATCGCCATTCTAACTGGTGTGAGATAGTATCTCGTGGTTTTGATTTGCATTTCTCTGATGACCAGTGATGATGAGCATTTTTTCATGTGTCTGTTGGCTGCATAAATGTCTTCTTTTGAGAAGTATCTGTTCATATCCTTTGCCCACTTTCTGATGGGGTTGTTTGTTTTATTCTTGTAAGTTTGTTTAAGTTCTTTGTAGATTCTAGATATCAGCCCTTTGTCAGATGGGTAGATTGCAAATATTTTCTCCCATTCTGTAGGTTGCTTGTTCACTCTCATGGTAGTTTCTTGGGCTATACAGAAGCTTTTTAGTTTAATTAGATCCCATTTGTCTATTTTGGCTTTTGTTGCCATTACTTTTGATGTTTTAGTCCTGAAGTCCTCGTCCATGCCTATGTCCTAAATGGTATTGCCTAGGTTTTCTTCCAGGGTTTTTATGGTTTTAAGTCTAAAATTTAAGTCTTTAATCCATTTTAAATTAATTTTTGTATAAGGTGTAAGGAAGGGATCCAGTTGCAGTTTTCTACATATGGCTAGCCAGTTTTCCCAGCACCATTTATTAAATATGGAATCCTTTCCCCATTTCCTGTTTTTGTCAGGTTTGTCACATGATTATCTCAATAGAGGCAGAAAAGGCCTTTGACAAAATTCAACAGCCTTCATGCTAAAAACTCTCCATAAACTAGGTATTGATGGAACGTATCTCAAAATAATAAGAGCTATTTATGACACACCCACAGCCAATATCATACTGAATGGGCAGAAACTGGAAGCATTCCCTTTGAAAACTGGCACAAGACAGGGATGCCCTCTCTCACCATTCCTATTCAACGTAGTGTTGGAAGTTCTAGTCAGGGCAATCAGGCAAGATAAATAAATAAAGCGTATTCAATTAGGAAAAGAGGAAGTCAAATTGTCCCTGTTTGCAGATGGCATGATTGTATATCTAGAAAACCCCATCGTCTCAGCCCTAAATCTCCTTAAGCCGATAAGCAACTTCAGCAAAGTCTCAGGATACAAAATCAACGTGCAAAAATCACAAGCATTCTTATACACCAATAACAGACAACAGAGAGACAAATCATGAGTGAACTCCCATTCAAAATTGCTACAAAGAGAATACAATACCTAGGAATCCAACCTACAAGGGATTTGAAGGACTTCTTCAAGGAAAACTACAAACCACTGCTCAACGAAATAAAAGAGCACACAAACAAATGGAAGAACATTTCATGCTCATGGATAGGAAGAATCAATATCATGAAAATGGCCATACTGCCCAAGGTAATGTATAGATTCAATGCCATCCCCATCAAGCTACCAATGACTTTCTTCACAGAATTGGAAAAAAAAACTACTTTAAAGTTCATATGGAACCAAAAAAGAGCCCACATAGCCAAGACAATCCTAAGAAAATAGGACAAAGCTGGAGGCATCATGCTACCTGACTTCAAACTATACTACAAGGCTACAGTAACCAAAACAGCATGGTACTGGTACCAAAACAGATAAATAGACCAACGGAACAGAACAGAGGCCTCAGAAACACCGCCACACATCTACAACCATCTGATCTTTGACAAACCTGACAAAAACAAGAAATGGGGAAAGGAGGAAGTACTTCTAAACTCATTCTGTGAAGCCAGTATTACCCTGATACCATAGTCAGGCAAAAATACAGCCCCCCCCCGCAAAAAAAAAAGAAACAAAGAAAGAAAATAAAACTGCAGGCCAAAATCCTTGATAAATATTGACACAAAAATCCTCAACAAATTCTAGCAAACTGAATTCAATAACAGATTAAAAAGAATATTTATCATGTCCAAGTGGGGTTTATTCCTGGGATGCAAGGATGGTTCAGCACATGCAACCCCAAGCAATGTGATATAGTGTATCAACAGAATAAAGGGAAAACCATGTGATTACTTATAATGATGTTGAAAAGGCATTTAATAGAATTCAACATCCCTTCATGATAAAAACCCTAAAAACGTAGGGATAGAAAAAAACATACTTTAACACAACATGAGCCATATATGAAAGATCCCCAGCTAGTATACTGGGGAAAAAGTGAAATACTTTCCTCTAAGATTTGGAGAAGACAAGGATGCCCAAGTTCACCACTGTTATTCAACATAGCAGTGTAAGTCACAGAGCAGTTAAACAAGAGAAAGACATAAATGGCATCCAATGCGGATGCCATTATAATTAGGATAGCTTTGGCTACTCTAGGTCTTCTATATTTAGAAGGAAATATATTTGGAATGGACTTAGACCTAGTCCGGCTCTATCACATACCGGGTTTGTGGTCATTAGCAACTTCTATGTACCCCAAGGCCCACATCCCACATGTATCATGAGGATAAAGTAATAAAAACCAATCAGCTACTGAGAACTATGTCTAGTCTACATTAAGCATTCTGTGAAAGTTAGTTCTTAGGATTTTGCACTAGATTCTCTGCTGGGTTTTAAGTATAAAGTGTTGAACAAACTAGATATGGACTCTGCCCTTAAAGAGTTTGCATTTCACAGTAAAATAAACTTATATCTAATAAAGCATGATTTAAATTCCTGGACATCGAATTAATGGACCCCTTGTAATTCCATGACACTGTCTGAAAACATCACCCCTACTTCTCTTATTAGTGGCCCCCACAGCACAAACATTTATGTCAAGGGCACTGTTTACCCCTGCTCCTCAAGTTAGTGGCTGTCATCGCCTTATGGCAGGAGAAAACAGTTGACTCTGTCAAAACCAGATTCATATAGAGGTGTGAAGAATAAACTCCTTTTTCACTTTCTGTAACTTAAGTTAAATTATACATATTTTTAGATGATATAATCTTCTATTTTGAAAAACCTAAAGACCCCACCAAAAAACTGTTAGAACTAATAAAACCAATTCAGTAAAATTGCAGGATACAAAATCAACATACAAAAAACAATAACATTTTTATATTCCAACAGTAAGCACTCTGAAAAAGAAATGAAGAAACTTATCCCATTTACAATAGCTACAAGTACTATAAAATACATAAGAGTTTACCTCACGAAAGAAGTGAGAGATCTCTGCAATAAAATCTATAAAACATTAATGCAAGAAAGGAGAGGATGCAATAAAATAGAAAGAATTTTATGTTCATAGTTTGGAAGGATCAATATTGTTAAAATATCCACACTACTCAAAGCAATACACAGAGTCAATGTAATCCCAATGTAAATACCAGTGACATTCTTCTTAAGAATAGAAAAAGAATCTTAAAATTTTTATGGACTCACAGAAGACCTAGAGTAGCCAAAGTTATCCTAAGCACAAAGAACCAAACTGTAGGAATCACATTACCTGACTTCAAATTATACCACGGAGTTATAGTAACCAGAATAGCTTCGTACTGGTGTAAAAACAGACATAGACCAATCGAACAGAATAGAGAACCCAGAAATAAATCCATACATCCGCAGAGAACTCATTTTCAATAAAAGTGCCAAGAATATATGCTGAGGAAAGGACAGCCTTTTCAATAAATAACGTTGGGAAAACTGGATAGCCATATAAAGAAGAATGAAACTAGACTCCTATCTCTCACCATATACAAAAATTAAATCAAAATGAACTAAAAACTTAAATCTAAGATTTCAAGTTAGGAAACTACTAAAAGAAAACATTTGATAACCTCTCCAGGATATTGGTTTGGGCAAAAATTAGTTAAGCAATACACCATAAGCACAGGCAACAAAAGCAAAAATGGATGAATGGGACTATATCAAGTTAAAAAGCATCTGTGCAGCAAAAGAAACAATCAACAAAGCAAAGAGACAACCTAAAGAATGAGAAAAAATGCAAACTATTCATCTGACAAGGGATTAATAACTGAATATATAATGAGCTCAAACAACTCTGTAAGAAAGAAAATCTAAGTATTCGATTTAAAAATGGACAAAATATCTCAATCAACATTTTCAAAAGAATAAATGCAAATGGCAAACACGTATATGAAAATGTGTTCAACATCATTGATCATCAGAGAAATGCAAATCAAACCTACAATGACATATCATCTAATTCCAATTTAAATGGCTTTTATCCAAAAGACAAACAATAACAGATGCTGGTGAGGATATCAGGAAAAGACACGCCTTGTATATTGTTGGCAGGAATGTAAATTAGTACCAACACTGTGGAAAGCAGTTTAGAGGTTCTTCAAAAAACTAGAAATGGAACTAGCATATGATTCGGCAATCCCACAGATACATACATAGCCAAGATAAAGGAAAACAATGTGTTGAAGAGACATCTGCACTCTCATGTTTAACTGAGGCACTATTTACCATAGCCAAGATTTAGAAGCAACCTAAGTGTTCATCAAGAGACAAATGGATAAAGAAAATGAGGTACATGTACACAATGGAGTACTACTCAGCCATAAAAAATAGCGAGATTCTGTCATTTCAAAAACACAGATGGAACTGGAGGTCATTATGTTAAGTGGAATGAGCCAGGCACAGAAAAACCAACTTTACATATTCTCATTTATTTGTTAGATCTCTAAATTAAAACAATTGTGTTCATGGAGACAGAGAGTAGAATGATGGTTACCAGAGGCTGGGAAGTTTAGTATCGAATGGGGAGGAAGGGGAGTGGTTAATGGGTACAAAAATATAGTTAGGGGGAATGAATAAGATCTAGTATTTGACAGCACAACAAGGATTGTCAAAAATAATTCATTGCACTTTTAAAAATAACTAAAAGAGTATAATTGGATTGTTTATAACACAGAGAAAGCATAAAAGCTTAAGGTAGTGGACATGCCATTTACCCTGATGTGATTATTGTGCATTGTATGCCTGTATCAAAATATCTCATGTGCCCCATAAATATATCCACACATTATGTACCTACATAAATATAAAAAATTCAAAATAATTATATAGAAATATTTTTTAAATTAGGACAAATTACTTCCCAATCAAGTTTGTTTTTTTAAAAATTAGGAGTAAGGTTTGCTTTGGATGTTGGTTTCATCTTTTTGTTTGTTATAAGTTTATGGAGATATAATTGATAGCCAATAAAAACTGCACATGTTTAATGTATATAAAATTGTCCCTTGGTATAGATGGAGGATTGGTTTCAGGGCTCTATATATGCCAAAATTCAAGCATACTCTAGTCATGCAGTTGGCCCTGTGGAAATCACATATGTGAAAAGTTGGCCCTTCATATATTTGGGTTTCACATCCTGCAAACATTCTATTTTTCATCCACGTTTGGTTGAAAAAAATCTGCATATAAGTGGACCTGCACAATTCAAACCCATGTTGTTCAAGGGGGAAATGTAATTTGATCAGTTGGACATATGCATAGAGCTGTGATGGATAGGTTTACTAACATCATGGTGGTAGTGATGTAACTGTCATTTTACTTCTTTTTTAACCTGTTATTAATTGCAAAGGTATAACAAACAGCTCAACTCTTATCATCAGCTATTCTTAACTTTTCTTAAACATATTTTAAATTTTCTAACTTCTTGTCCAATTTTAATTAGGAAAACCATAGAGTAATTTTAATCATTATAATACAATAATGATAAAATACATTTCCAAGACATGTTTTAGAATAGTGTGTTTCACTTCAGCCATAAATGTATTTCTTTGTTTATTTTAGACATATTAGCTTGTATCTTTAAGCCATCTCATATTAGATATTAGCTTCATAATTAGCATATTATTTTGTGGTTTTAAGATAAAAGAAAACCAATTATAATCCTACTTCTATGCAATGTATTTCCACTATAAAGATTTTCAGTTTAGGCTAATATGCATTACCTGTACTTGAGCTCTCATAGCAAACCACGACAAACCTGGACAAAATATGTAAATTCACTGTTTTTAGAAATTGGACAGCAGAAAAGAAGCAACATGACAAGGTATACATTCCCTCTAGCATTCTGTCTGGACAAGAATTTTACTGCAGGGAAGTAGAGTATGTGCAGAGACTGGAAATCCTGCTGCGAGGAGAAAACAGATCAGAGTTCAGGGCTGCTATTGTGGAACCAGTTGTCTGGGCAGAGTACAAAGGGAAAAGAGCCACAGAGAAGAGCCCAATCAAGATATCTTTGTAAGAGTTTTGTTAACATTTGTATTGGAATCATAAACTGTGCATGAACAGTATGCCTGAAATTTTAACAACTAATTTCAGAGGGTATAAAATACAGAAAGAGGTGAAAGTTTTGACACACCAGAATGGTCTAGTCTCAAATAAACATTGTGAACATTAAGATAAGATTTGACAAAAATCATGCATTAGAAGTAAAACCTACATTGCGTGAGTAAAGAGTACATCATAAGAAAAAAATTCAAGCTAAAATAGACCCACTTAAACAAAGCTTAAAATCAAGACATGGAAGGGCATTGTATCATGAAAATGTCCAGAATAAAGTAATATAAAAATTACTACACTTAGGAAGTACCAGAAGAATGCGTGCTATGAAATATATGTATACGAAGTGTGTGTGTGTGTCTGTATGTGTGTGTGGTATGCCAATGGAAGCAGAAGTGCAGTCAACCCAGACATGGGTATTAACAGACATGCATGTAATTAGACTTCAAAGAATATACGAAAATTTGCAATCAGAAAATGGAGAAAAGAATATGGCACAGAAGAATTTTTTAAAAAGAGATAATGGTGACCTGTTTCAAGTTAGAAGGTCAATCCTCACATCTATGTTCAGTGAATTTCAACCAAGATAATTACAAATAAATGTAAGCATAGGCACAACATAGTCAAATTGATAAAAGCTAAAGTTTTAGATAAAATATTTGTATTTTCTAAATTCTTCATGATAACATCAGTGATTATTTAGAAGTGTTATTACTTTTCAAATATTTGAATATCATTTTTTTATTATTGGTTTTTAGTTTGATTTTATTGTCAAAAAAATCTTAAAAGCATCCAAGGAATAAACATATGCTCAGAAAACAGAACAAGAGAGACACTTGACTTCATATCAAAAATACTAGAAGGCAGATTTGTTCAGTAAAAATATCTTTCAAAAAATTATTTTTTTACAAATTTAATAGACAAAAAGAGTAATCTGAGAAAAAAGACCTGAATATAATGGTATGCAAAGCAGCAAATATTTTTCATACGAGCCCCAGTATGCATTAACAATAAAAGAAAAAAAAACAAAATATTTGTAATGTCATCAAAATTAAGATCTCATCAAAAGAAAATCCATTTTGATGGTGTTCTGATTAGTGCATGCATGTTAAGAATTGTTGTTTACCCAAATGACCAATCTTCTTATCATTATGTAATGTTCCAACTTATCTATGATAATTTTCCTTGTTCTATCTTCTTTGATTAGAGTTAGCTTCGGAATGTCTTTATCTCTTTAATCTATATTTGACTTTATATTTAAAGCGTGTTTATTGAAGACAGCATATTGCTGAGTCTTGAATTTTAAATACACTCTATTTCTGTCATTTGTATATTTAGACTATTCACATTTAAATAAATTATTGTCTTATTGGATTCATATCCATCATATTTGTAAGTATTTTCTATTAATGTCCCTGATTGTTTGTCTTGTTCAGTCTTTATGTTAGTTTCCAATTTTTTCCTGCCTTGTCTAGGTATAATTGAGCTTTGTCTATGATTCCATTTCCTTTCCACTCTAAGCAAATTAATTATAATTTAAAATATTTGGTGTTTTGCTTTAGAGTATTATATGTGTTACATATATAATTATATAGATAAAATTTAGATATATTATTTGTAAATATATTATATTAATGTATTATTTATATTTTACTTAAATATAAATATAATTCTATTTATATTATACAAATATAATTCTATTTATATTATACAAATATAATTTTAAAAATATAAATATAGTTATATTTAACTTGAATATATATAATTAATAAATATATATGATTTTATATAATTGCATAAATGTATTACGAAATAAAATAATATAAAATTCATGGTAAAATTTCACCTTGGGAGACTACAAAAGATGAGTAAATTAAACCTGAGGTAAATTCAGCATTGCTGACACTTTGATCTTGGACTTCCATCCTCTAGAACCATGAAAAATATTTGTTTTTGTTAAGTCCAAAAAAATAAATAGGAAAAAGGGAAAGAAGTCAATGAAATCGACAATGAGAGATCATAAAAGGAATCAATGAAACTAAAAGCTGGACATACAAATAAAATGGATAAAACTCTAGCCAGGCTAACTAAAAAAAAAAGAAGGCAGGGTGCACTGGCTCACGCCTGTAATTCCAGCACTTTGGGAGGCCGAGGCGGGTGGATCACAAGTCAAGAGATCGAGACCATCCAGGCCAACATGGTGAAACTCCATCTCTACTAAAAATACAAAAATTAGCTGGGCGTGGTGGCGCGCATCTGTAGTCCCAACTGCTTGGGAGGTTGAGGCAGGAGAATCGCTTGAACCCAGACCAGGGAAGCGGAGGTTGCAGTGAGCTGAGATCAAGCCACTGCACTCCAGCCAGGCGACAGAGCAAGACTCCGTCAAAATAAAATAAAATAAAATAAAATAAAATAAAACAAAATAATAAGAAAAAAAGAGAGAAGACACATTACTACTATTAGATATCACGACTAATCCCATGAACACAGGATAGTAAACAAATATTATAAACAATTCTGCCTTAGTCCATTTGTATTGCTATAAAGGAATTCCTGATCCCCAGTAATTTATAAAGAAAAGTGGTTTCTTTGGCTCAAAGTTCTTCAGGTTGTATAAGAAGCATGGTGCCAGCATCTGCATCTGATGAGAGCCTCAGATGGCTACCACTAATGGCAGAAGGCAAAGGAGAACAGGCATTGTATGGCAAGAAAGGAAGAAAGAGAGAGGGGAGAAAGGTGCTAGGTTCTTTTCAACAACCAGTTCTTGATGGAACTGAGAGTAAGAGCTCAAGGCCAGGTGTGGTGACTCCAACCAGTAATCCCAACATTTTAGGAGGCTGAGGCAGGCAGATGTCTTGACCCCATGAGTTTGTGACCAGCCTGAACAACATCATGAGACTCCATCTCTACAATAATTACAAAAATTAATCAGGCATTGTGGTATGCCCTGTAGTCCCAGATGCTAGGGAGGATGAGGTGGTAGGATTGCTTGAGCCTGGGAAATTGAGGCTATAGTGAACTGTGATTGTGCCACTGCACTCTAGCCTCGGCTACAGAACAAGACCCATCTCAAAAAACAAAAAAATAGTAAGAACTCATTCACTCCTGGGAGAATAGCACCAAGTCATTAGTGAGGGGCTTGCCTCCTTGATCTAATCACCTCCCACCAGGCCCCACCTCCAACCATGGGGATCACATTTCAACATGAGACTTGGTGTAGTCAAACAAACTATATCCAAGCCATTCTGTGCCACAAATTTGAGAACTTAGATGAAATGAACCAATTCATTAAATGCCATCATCTACCACTGTTACATCAAGAGAACTAGTCTATATAGGCTTACAGAGAAAATGAATTAACAATTAATATCCTTAAAAAAGTGAAAGCACCAGCCCAGATGGCTGCAATGGTGAATTCTATCCAACATTTAAGAAAGAATTGCTACAAATTCTCTAAAATCTGTTTCAGAAAGTAGAAGCAGAAGAGCACATCTTAACCATAGGAAGCCATAATTACTCTAATACAAAAATAAAGATACTGAAAAAAAAAAAACACAGACCAGTGTCTCTCATGAACATGGATGTAAAAATTATCAAAATAAATTATCAGATATAATCCAATAGTGTATACAAATAATTACAACATGACCAATTGGGGGTTATTCCAGGTATGCAAGACTGATTGAACACTCAGAAGTGAATTAGGTAATCTGTCATATCAAGAGGCTAAAAAAAGTCATATGATCATACAAATAGATTTAGAAAAAGTACTTAACAGTTTCCAAAAGATATTCATGATAAAAAGCCAGTAAGAGCAAGCTAAAAATAAAGGAGAATATTTTCTAAATGATGACAAAGGACATCTACAAAAATTTGTACAGCCAATATACTTAATGGTGAAAATCTAGATGCTTTACCCCTAACATGAGAAACAAGGCAAGAATGTACCCTCTTAATCACTCCTATTCAACATATTACTAGACATCCTACCTAATGCCATAACACAAGAAAGGAAAATAATAAGTACACAGATTGTGAAGGAAGAAATAAAACTCTCTTTGTGCACATATAATATGATTGTTCCTGTACAAAATCTCAAAGTATCCAAAAAAACAAACTTCTGGATCTAATCAGTGAAATGCAAATTAAAACTACAATGAGATACTAGTTTACTTCTGCAAGAATGGCCACAACTAAAAAGTCAAAAAAGAATAGATGTTGGTGGAGATGTGGTGAACAGGGAATACTTTTAAACTGCTGGAGGGAATGTAAACCAGTACAACCACTATGGAAAACAGTATGAAGATCCCTTAAAGAACTAAAAGTAGAACTACCATTGGATCCAGCAATCCCACTACTGGGTATCTAACCAATGAAAAAGAAGTCATTATATGAAATAGACACATGCACATGCATGTTTATAGCAGCACCATTTGCAATTGCAAAACTATGGAACCAACCTAAGTGCCTATCAATCAACAAATGAATAAAGTGGCATATATATATACCATGGACTACTACTCAGCCATGACAAGGAATGAAATAATGTCTTTCACAGCAACTTGGATGCAGCTGGAGACTATTATGGAAAGGCCAAATAATGGGATGGAAAACCAAATATCATACATTTTCATTCATAAGTAGGGGCTAAGCTATAAGGATGTGAAGGCGTGAGAATGATATAATGGACTTTGAGGATTTGGTGGGGAAGAGTGGGGGGGTGAGAGAAAAAAGTGTACATATTGGGTACAGTGTACACTGCTAGAGTGATGGGTACACCAAAATCTCAGAAATCGCCACTAAAGAACTTATGCTTGTAGCCAAAACCGCCTGTATCCGCAAGCCATTTAAATAAAAATTTTTAAAATATACAAAATTCAGTATATTTCTATAGCAATTACCACTTGAGATTGTAATTAAAAAGACAAAATTATCTACATTAATGCCAAAAAAGTAAAATACTTAGGTATAAATTTAGCAATATATGTACAAGTATAAAACTTCTGATGGAAGAAATCAAGAAACTAAATAAATGGAAACTGAATAAATATTTCATGTTGCTGAATAGGACCACTCAGTATTTTAAAGAGTCTTTCCAACTTGATCTATGGATTCAATGCAATTCCACTCAAAGTTAAAGCAAAGGTAACTACATATAATGTTTCCATGAAAAGGTAAAAAATTCAGAATAGCCAACATAATATGGAGAAAATGAAAGTTGTATAACTGACATTACTCAAAGTAAAGACTTACTATAAAAATACAGTAATCAAGACAGTGTGGTACTGGTGAATAAGTAAACAAATAGATCAATGAAACAGAATACAGATCCCAGAAATATACTCAAACAAATATAGTCAACTGATCTCTCACAAACAAGAAAAGACAGTCTTTTCAACAAATTATTCTGGACACTGGGCATCTGCATTGAAAAATTAATATAGACCTTATAGCCTTCACACACACACACGCACACACACACACACCACTCAAAATGTGTTTTTAGATAATAGACTTAAAAGTAAAATGTAATGTATAAACTTTTAGGCAATAACATAGGACAGAGTATGTCACTCGGGTTTGAAATATTTTTTAGATACAACACCAAAAGAATGATCCATGAAAGAAAAATTGGTAAATTGAACTTCATTAAAGTTAAAACCATCTACCTAGTGAAAGATAGTGCTAGGGTAATATAAAGAAAAGCCACACACTGAAAAATAAAATGTTAGCCAAACACACATGTGGCAAAAGACTTGTATCCAAAATGTACAAAGAACTCTTAAGAAAATAAATAGCCCAATTAGAAAATGGCTAAAGATCTGAACAGACACCTCACCAAAGAAGACACACATGGCAAATAAGCATATCAAAAATGTGCAACATCATATTTCATTAGTGAATGGCAAACTAAAACAATGAGACAGCACTACACTCCTATCAGAATGCATAAAGTCCAAAGCACTGACAACATTAAATGCCAGTAAGGATTTGGAGCAATGAGAACTCAGTCATTACTGGTAAAATGCTTTAATAAAATATTAAAGTTACTTTGGTGGACAGTTTGTGAGTTTCCTACAAAGCTAAACAGTCACAGCATATGATCTAGCAATTATATTACCTGGTTGAAAAGCCTGTTGCATGAATATGTATAGCAACTTTATGCATAACTGGAATCAAACAAGATGTCTCTCAATAGTTGAAGTAATAAATCATGGTACATCCCTATAATGGAATATTATTCAGTAATAAATAATGAGCTGTCAATCTACAAAAATATATAGAAGGAAATTAAATTCATGTTGCTAAGACAAAGAAGCTAGTCTGAAAAAGACTATATACCATAGGATTCTAATTATATGACATCTGGGAAAGGCAAAACTATGAAGCAAGTACAATGTTCAGTGATTGCCAGGACCTCAGGAGGAGTTAGGGAGAGAGGAATAGATGGGGTACAGGGGAATTTTTAGGTGGTGAAATTAGTCTGTATAATATCAAAATGGTGGATGCAAGACATTATCCATTTGGGAAAACCCATTGAACTGCCCAACACACACAAAAATGAACCCCGATGGGAACTATGCACTTTAGTTAATAATAATATAGTAATATTGGAATATCATTTTTTAAAATGTACCATGATAATGAAAGGTATTTATAATATGAAAAATTCTACTGGGGGCAAGGTGTAGAGGGAGGATATAGAAACTCTTTGTATTTCCTGCTTAATTTTTCTGTAAACCTAAAACTTCTCTAAAAATAAAAATCTATTAATTCAAAACAAACAAAAATGCATAGTTACAAAAAAAAAATCAATGTAAAAAAGTGAAAAAGCCATAGGCTGGAATAAAATATTTAGAGAGTGTATATTTAAAAAGAACTCATTATCTATTATATATATTTACACATATATTATAAATCAATGAGCAGAATGAACCAATACAAAATAGGTAAAAGAAAAACAGGCATTTCACAAAATTAGATGCTTGTATATTCAAAAAACTTAAAATCTTGCTCAACACATTATGCTTTAGTAAAATGTAGGTGGAAATCTCAGGATAGGATACTATATATATAATAGAAAAGCTATAGTTAAGTAAATTTTTAAAAATCGGGTGTGCAAAATATTGTAATTTGAAGCAAAAATTATTTTACTTTTCTAATAAACTCTCTGGCAATTTTGAATAAAATTAATAATACACCTAACCTAAGACAGAGTAAGTGCATTCTTCGGCATTTGCACATATATGTCAATGCTCTCTTCAAATACATGTATAAAATTATTCATTTAAGTTTTATTTATGATAGCCCAATAACCAACAGGGGAACTGATCAACAAATTGGGGTATATTCATGCAACCCAATACTGCTCAGCAATTAAAAAATAAAACACTGATGTATTCAGCAACTTGTATGTTCTGAAATATATTATATCAACTACAAAAGTCAAATATATAAATGTGCATCTGGTATGATTCCAATTATATAAAGTTCAAGAACAGAAAAGATTTATAAGAGTAACTCAGATGATACTAGTTTTCCTTGTCTATGACAGTGACAAGAGAAAATAAAATGAAGAGAAATAGTAACAACAACAATTTAAAATATTGTGTGAAATTACAATAAATTTGTAGGATTTATATCAATAAAATATTATATCTTCAGGATGTGACATAAGTAATTTAAATAGAGGAATAATTTCACCAAGTTATTGGAAGGAAATGTTTAATATTGTAAATATGTCGATTCTCCCAATATCACTTTCTTAAATCAAGTCTAATGATTATTTTTAAACTTAATCTATTATAAATTTTAGCTGGAATCTGAAAAATGTCAAAAGTTAATGCAAAAAATATGAACAGGTAAAATTGTTTTAATATATGTATCAACTAGTATTGTTAATATGAAATGAGCTCTTAGACTTAAATACAAAAACAAACACTAATTGAAAACCGTATTCAGAAGGTAATCTCATTTCACAAAAGAAATTATAAATAACAAATAAGCAAAAATATTTATTTTAACTGGTTACCAAAAGTTTAGAAAAGTATATATACATATATATTTATACATATGTATATATACTGTCTCTACTGTTAATAAATATATATATATTCTCAAATTTACAGTGACAAAATAATGATTATAGATGATGTTGGGAAGCAATAATAGAAATATTAACTCCTAATCGATGTGTGAATTTATTCAAAAAATGCGGCAAGCAAATGATGATTTCCTTTAAATTAAATATGCATACTTTTTGGCACAATTATCCTAATGCAGTTTTTTTCTACTTAGAAAATATAAAAAACACATACTTCTAAGTATATTTATGAAGATGTTTATCCTAATTATGTTTTATTAAAATAAGAACAATAATATACCATAGAGAATTGTTTAGGCATGCATGCATGGCTTTTTCCCTATCATTAAGTAGAAGAAATAAAAGTAAAACTAATTTGTAAAAAACACACATGGCCAGGCATGGTGGCTCACCCTGTAATCCCAGCACTTTGGGAGGCTGAGGCGACTGGATCACTTGAGCCCAGGAGTTTGAGACCAGCCTGGCCAAATGGAGAAACCCTATCTCTACTGTTAATAAAAATGCAAACAAAAATTATCCAAGCATGGTGGTGCATGCCTGTAATCCCAGCTAGTCAGGAGACTGAGGCAGGAGACTGAGGCAGGAGAACCCAGGAGGCAGAGGTTGCAGTGAGCCAAGATTGTGCCACTGCATACTAGCCTGGGTGACAGAGCGAGACTCAGTTGCAAAAAAAAAAAAAGAAAGGAGATTTTTTTGACAAATTACCTAGTAAAAAATGAGAGTATGTATAGGATGGATGGCATAATTCCTAGAACATGATATAATGTATTTTTTCTAAAAGTTGAAGAAAGATACTGGCAAAAGACTTGAACATTTTCAGAGGCTTTTAACTTGCTTCACTTTCCCTGAAAAGATTCCCAGGATCCTATAGTAGCAGTTAAAAAGGAGCTATCTATTTAAAATAATGCAAAATTGATTAATGGTACACATTATTAAAAACTAGATATTTGAAGAATATGCAGGGCCAGGAGATTCACAATTGTTAAAGCTGCTATTAGAATATCCTACCAAAAGGTTATAAAAGGTTATAAAAAGTGATGACATTTGATATGTGGTTTTCAGGACCTGGCCCAAGCCCAAATGCCTCTTTTACTAAGGAAATATCCAATAACACCCTAGTAGATATCCAGGAATTATTGCTTTTTTTCAGTGACGAAAACATTTCTTCTTTTCAGACACTAACAGGGAGCAGAACCATTGTCTACATATCTGTTAAATCATGAGAGATCTGAAATAAGACAAACAACATAGAACAGTGGAATTGATTTTGAAAAACGAGGTACTATTAAACTGGTAAGAACAATTAACCTGAAAATATTACTGTAGGAAACTAATTTGTATTTAAAAAACCAAGGGCACCTTGCTTGTTTAGTAAAACTAATTCAGAAACATTTGAGAGAGGCAGTATTTTCTACCTCCCATAGCGTGTTACTGAAAATAAACTTATCCAGGCTGAAGCCGATGTAATAGATAGGGTTTTCATAGAACATAAATTGTGCTTAGCACAGAGTAGGGGTTTAATAAATAATCACTGAATGAGAAAATGAATGAATGTCTTCCACCAACTCACATAAACATACCATCTTATACTAGTCACTTTCAGATGGCTTCAAACAACTTAGGATTGCTCAGTTTTAAATCAGAATTAATGCCACATCATTGGATTGTCAGGGAGTGACTCTTGCTAGCTATAAACAATGATGAATAATCAGTCCACCTGATTCTGGGAACATATTAGTGTTCCATGAGATGAATGCAGATTGGTTTTGATGCTCTCTCTATAGGCATACATTTGCTATGTCATCAACGGTAATTTACTCAGCTGGAGGTAATTCTTCCATATGAGAGAACTTCCAGACTCTTTGAAACCATGAGGAAACATCTGCTTGTTTTGTATGCCCCTTCGGGATGACAGCATTGTGCTGGTCACACCTCAGGGAGTCAATGTCTCTGTCATCCCATACAGATTTTTCCACTCAGCTGCTCCCTGTCATTGTGACACAGAAAATATGAACCAGACTATTGCCTATCACAGTTAGGGATGCTCCTCTTGTCCTTTCTAAACTCTAAGGTTTTCTGGGAGTTCATTATGTTGAGGACAAGTCCCAAAACCAAGTTGATGGAAAAGCCCCTGCAACAGAAACTGTTACAATATCTCCAAATCTTTCACAGAGCAGGTAATGTTGTGTGCTTGGGTAGTGATCAGCAGATATGGGGAAAGGAAAAATAGCTTTGAATGACTAGATAGTCTATGAATAATTTTACTGTCCCACACTTGCTGTTTTCTCTTGCTTATAACGGTCAAGGAAACTGGGTAATTTACAAAGAATAGGAATTTATTTCTTACAGTTATGGAGGCTGGGAAGTCCAAGGTGCAGAGGGCACATCTGATGAGAGCCTTGTTGCCATGGGAACTCTCTGCAGAGTGGCACAGGGCATCACATGGCAAGAGGGCTATGCATGCTAAGGTGCTAGCTAGGATCTCTCTTCTTGTAAAGCCACCAGTTCCCCTCCTGTGATAACCTCTTCATGTTGCTTATAAAGACATACTCAGGATTGGGCAATTTATTAAGGAAAGAGGTTTAATTGACTCACAGTTCAGCAAGGCTAGGGAGGCCTCAGGAAACACAATCATGGTGGAAGGGGAAGCAAACACATCCTTATTCACATGGTGGCAGAAAGAAGTGTTGAGCAAAAGGGAAAAAGGCTCTTATAAAACCATCAGATCTCCTGAGAACTCACTCAGTATCACAAGAACAGCAGCATGGCAGTAACCACCCCCACAATTCAATTACTTCCCACTGGGTCCCTCCCACAACACATGGGGATTGTGGGAACTACAATTCAAGATGAGATTTGGGTGGGGACACAGCCAAACTATATCAACCTCTTAATCCATAAATGGGTTAATCCATTTATGAGGTCACAGCCCTCATGATTTAATCCCCTCTTAACGGCCCCACATTTCAGTAATGCCACAGTGAGGCTAAGCTTCAACATCAGTTCTGAAGAGGACATTTAAACTATAGTACTTGCTTACAACAGTTGCCTTAAACTGGACTGTGATAATTCTGTGCTTATTCTCAGGATGCACGGAAGTTTGGTACTGACTTTTGGCCAAGACAGGATAAGATAAGCAAGCAACTGATTCATGATATGCTGTTTAAAGTTCTAAACACCCCGGGTGGCATCCTGAGTCATTTTGTTTATACTGTTTAGGATCCTGTAGATACATGCCTTATGTCTGGTTTAACCAGTTACATAGACTAACTTGGCTACATAACCTCACATAAATGATCTCTTTGGAAACTTTTGCAAAGTTACTCTAAAACCAAATATTTTGCACATATCTTGATGTTTCAAAATCTGACCAAGATTTTGACTTTTGTTTCTGTTTTGTTTTCAGTAATTGTAATGCAAAGGATGTGTCCCTTATATCTAGAAGTCCCTGCTGCCAGTGAAAATTGTGGACAGTAATGAAGAAATACAATTTTAAAGGTCACATTTATTAATTATCCTGTTATATGGGACAAGACCAAATAAGCTGAGTTCTGTGGGATGGGAAGTTACCTTCCTGCCAATACTAGCATAAAATTTTGCCCAGATACTTTAAGAAAACTAAGTGAAACAAACAAAAACCAAAAATGCAAACACAAAACCTTGATCTTTCAACTCTCCTCATAGACACCTCATACTCCAACCACACATCACTGGGGAAAATAGCTAACTCAGGGGTGGGGCGCGGTAGCTTATGCCTGCAATCCCAGCACTTTGGGAGGCCGAGGCGGGCAGATCACCTGAGGTCGGGAGTTTGAGACCAGCCTGACCAACATGGAAAAACCCTGCCTCTACTAAAAAAATACAAAATTAGCCTGACGTGGTGGCTTGTGCCTGTAATTCCAGCTACTCATGAGGCTGAGGCAGGAGAATCGCTTGAACCTGGGAGGCGGGGGTTTTGGTGAGCTGAGATCACGCCACTGCACTCCAGTCTGGGCAACAGAGTGAGACTCCATCTCAAAAAAAAAAAAAAAAGCTAACTCAGGAATCTCATGAGGCTCCAGAGGGCAAGGAGAATATATCAGGATTATACTAGACAAATATTTCAAAGGGCTAAGACTGTTTAAAGGCAGATACTTCAATTGAGGCTGTGAACCTGAATAAATGGATGCAAAATCTATAGCACATGTTGTTGGAAATTGACTGAGACATGGAAGTGGGAAGGTGATGGCAGGAAGATAACAGATGATGCATGATACACAAGCATACTTTCTAAAACATATGCCTCCAAGAGACAATTAAATCCCATTTAAGTGACAATTAAGTAATGCTAATTACATCAGTGTTATTTAAAGTTTACATGAGATAATGTTTGCAAAGTCTTAGCTCAGTTTATATTATATAACATACATTCAATAAATTAGAGTGTGATTAAAACTGCTCTTTGGTTATGTTTACATTAAATTCAGCCTATGAAATTTGATTATTATATTTCTAATTATTCTAATTCACAACAATTGCATTCTCTCATTCTTATTGATCATATCTACCATGTTTCCTGTTATTTTTGCTTTGCTCATGATTATTTTTAGTCCATATTATGGTACATTTTTTTCTTCTCATTCACTAATTCATGTTTTTGGATTTGATTTTTCCTCTGTAAATGCTGCTCTTTACTTCCTCCAATGTAATCACATTTTTTATTTCTTTAGATTCTTGCTATATCTCACTGATTTTCCATTTCCTATCTTTTTTTTTTTACTTTATATCTATCTTTTATTTTATTTTTATCCTTGACTCTTTTCTATAAAGACAGTTCTATTTTGAGGAAAATCAAATGGCTTTCCAAAATATCTTGTCTCTAAAAAGGATAACTTGGTTGGGCAGAATCTCATGCCTGTAATCCCAGCACTTTGGGAGGCTGGGGCAAGAGGATCGCTTGAGTCCAGGAGTTTCAGATCAGCCTGGAAAACATAGAAGACCCCGTTTCCCCCCAAACTTTTAAAAACATTAGCTGGGCATAGTGGCACATGCCTGTAGTTCCAGCTACTCAGGAGCCTGAGACAGGAGGATTGCTTGAGCTCAGGAAGTCAAGACTGCAGTCAGCCATGATCCTGCCACTGCACTCCAGCCTGACAGAGTGAGACACTGTCTCACAAAATAAATAGATAAATAAATAAAACAAAATAAAAAGATAATTTATTATTAGCTGTTCCTTTGAAATTATTGCATACTTGCATATTCAAATATATCAGTATTTTTAAATCCTGATTTCTGTTTTTTCTTTTACTTATATTTCCAAAAATATGCATTTCAGCTCCATTTCCAACACCGACAGGAAGCTAATCTCATGTAATCTTACTTTCTCTTCTTAACTTATACTATTTAATAGTGAAACAAAATTATATGAGAATAAAGCTAAAATTATAATAAAACTTAAATCTTTGATATACACTATTAGTAGAACTC
Organism: Homo sapiens; assembly: GCF_000001405.40. Taxonomy (NCBI): domain Eukaryota; kingdom Metazoa; phylum Chordata; class Mammalia; order Primates; family Hominidae; genus Homo; species Homo sapiens. The sequence goes on from NC_000005.10 coordinate 26,944,963, forward strand.
TGAGTGAAACTATCATCCAGGAGGGTTGGATGTTGGATGTCCCCTTAAAACATTTCTCTTATTTGTACTCCAGTGTGTTTTAGAGTTGCCATCTCATGTTTTATACAGAAAATTTCAGAAATAGAAGTCTGTTGGTTTTACATTTTTACTTTTTTTTTAGCTAATATGGGGAGGAGTTGTATAATTCTACTCCAATTGTCCTCTTAAACCCGAATTACCCTTCTGTTATTTATGTTTCCTTGCTTTTTTTTTTTCCCTCACCTGAACCAATTGCATGACTAATATCCAATGGCTACTGAGAAATGAACAGTCAAATGTGGTTTTCAATATGTTCTTACAAGCTTTAACTCAAGAATTGTTTTATTTTTTCATTAAAATAATGCATATCATTTATTGCATGCATATCAAAAAGGAAACATTTTTTCAAAAAGGCTAATCTTCATTTAAATAAATAATTCATTAGAAAATAAAAGTTTCTTTATTGATATACATCTGGCTATTACCTTTTACTTCTTAATTGCTTTATGTTTATAAATATGTGGTAATGTTGCTAATGAATTGCAATAGTTATTTTATTTAGTTCCAATGTTTTATGTCACTATTTTAAAATCAGCATTTAGACTTGCTCCTCAAATAGCTTAAGAATCAGTTACCTAATCAAACAAATTTTCAAGTTCACAATAAAAAAGTGCATATGGTCATATCACATTTTCTTATATTATTGATTATTCTAATTTTTTATAAGAAATACTCTGCTGGGGAAGAGTTTAGATCAAAAACTCTGAATTAAAAAGTGTCAATGATAATAGCGGAAACCTGGAAAGAGAAAGGGCTAAGTCAAATAAAGAATATGAAAGATTTATGCCTTATGGTAATGAGAAAGCAGATAATCAGCAGGCTTGCTATCCATTCTTTTCCGTCACTGGGGGAACAGGCTTTAGGAAGAAAGAAGGTAGGTGACTTTGGTATAATCTCCTTGCAAGTGGATTATTTAACAAACAAACTAAGAGAAAATGAAGAAGAAAATCTTGAGTCATGTAATTCTTTAACAGGAGATTCATGGCTTAGGATTGCTATTTTAAATTTCCTAGACACTATGAGTAATGGGATATGGCTTTCTGTATAATGTTACATAAGCTACATAATGATCTGAGTAAAAAATTGAGATGTTTGATAACTTGAAAGTTTCTAGCTGTGTGAAAGAGACAATCACACCTCTCTCTTAGAAGCCTTATATTTTGAGCTGGCCTAGAGGGAATTCTCAATGCAGGAAGGAAGATGTGGTGACTTACATTGAATATCCCAGATTCCTTCCTGATTCCTCTGCATTCTTGATTGTTTGTATGCTTGAGTTTAATAGCAAAGCTTGATATTGAGCCATGTTTCTGATTAATTTAAGTCTTATTTATAAACACTCTTTTGCTCAGACTGATGCTATTGGGCAGGATTGTATTGAAACCCACTAATTATCATAACTAACGTACCCATTTAGAAGAAAAAAAAGGAGAGGATAAGTATGATAAAGATTTAATGCCAAGAAGTGAGGCTATGTATATTTGCTAGTAAGTGGCAAGTTTTGAAGCAGATGATGAAATGTCTCACCAACCGAATTTAAAGGTAATAGCTTTAAAGCTTTATAAATAGGTTAAGGGAATTAAACAGTGAAGAAAGTAATTTTTAAAAGGCAGCAAAAATCTTATTCTCTAGCAGTTATTCTCATCGCTGGTACAAGCCTCACTTTTCAAAGAGAAAAAATTGGTAGCAGGCCTTCTCATGATTCTGTGGCTACTTGGGAAGATGTCCTATTTACTCACAAAGTAATAAAAGAACAAGAATTGCCTGAAAAACTGAATAAGTAGCTGTAGGTCAAAAATAAATGACTACCGAATCCTCAGCTTATTCTATCAAGCAGTGAGAAAACTCTAGATAAATACCATCAGGAGTCAGGCAAACCCTCACTGTTTAAATTAAAATTAACAGTGGTGAGATGGTGTCAGGGATGAACGCTTGAATGCAAAGTGTGCTAAAGAGATTTTTCAGTGATTGTATAACTTTTACCTGATACATAATTGTTATGGATATTATTATGTATGAAGATGACCTGCTGACTTTACTTTTTTCACAGGAGTGTTTGACTATATCTGCCATTCAACCAGATTTAATGGCAATTTTTGAATTGTCCTAGTCCTCTTTGGTGGAAAACATTAAGCAATGTAGAATTTAGGGAATTCAGCAATATACCACTCCTAAGCTTAAGGAAATGATCATGCTGAGAAATTTGTTTACACAAATTCCCTTTTAAACAATTTTTCATGGCTAGTAAGCTAAATTTCTATTCATAGAAAGAAATATAAATGTGAATGAAGTCCTGAAAAAAGTAACCATTAAAACTGTTACAGAGGGTGGTGGCCCAAGCAGTCCCACAAGACTCTTATAATCCAACTGTTCAATGATGTTAGAATATGTGCATCCAAAACATACAGTCCGCAGTTTTGACAGAACTCAATTATGGCTACTTAGCAGAGACCTCTTGAGTTTTTGACACCAAAGGTTGCCTAAGGAAGCTTTATGTATAGCTTATTCAAAAGTAAATTGCTAATACTAGTCAAAAACACTTTCATCATGAAAGGACATGAGATATTTATGAACCTAGAAAATAGACTCTGCTATGGGTAATGACAAATAAGCATTGAAATAAGGAAAGAGCAGCACCGTGAAGCTCTATTACGAAGAAATGCTGTTTTAGAGAGCATGGCATGAGGGAGAATTTCAGATGTGCACACCACATAGGCACATCTATGAGCAAGTTGTTTTATTGGCCAAAAGCTGAAGGTAGAGTCTTCCAAGAATCTCTAGCCTCCATCACTGTGTGGCACAAATCTTTCGATCTCCTCCTGGCCAAGACACAGCAGGCTGCCTGGTTCACTCATGGGATCTCCAAGATGTAGGGTTGCCTTGCTCTTTGGCAATTAGAATAAATACTATTTATGGATGATAAAACTGTAATTGAAAAAAGTAAAGGAAATTTTGAACACCGAGAGTCGAAACTTCTCCATTTATTGGTGGAAGAGAAATTGGTCCCCACCTTCAGGGAAGTGCTTGGATATTCACAGACTTTTAGGCTATAGCCTTGCTCTGTGGTCAGACAAATCAAAGGGAGACTTAATTTATTCTTAAAGTCCAAACAGTCTACATGTATCCTTAATGTAGATTGTTTATGAATGCCAAACAAGGAAACAGCAAGAACAACAACACGGAGATGACAGTTCATAAAGGAAATGAAATGCTAAGGCAGTGCCTCAGGCAGGCTAGAGCTGTTTGGGTTCCTAAAAGAAAACAATATTTGCGGCTTAGCCAATTACTGATGGGCCGAGAGATGAAACATTTTTCTAGAATTCAACAAAATATTCAATGTGCCCAGAAACTCACCCAATATCAACAGAAGAAACATTTCTTGAAAATATCTGTGGTTACAAGTCCCCAAAGACTGGGATGGCACATAGCACATATCACACAGCCTCTACTGCTAACTCTATGGGTTACGAATATGCAACATGTGGCACTACCACTAGTTCTTATGTCACCTTTCCTGATCATGTAACAGATGTAACATGAGAGAATGCATTTACAAGTTTAGAACAGCAAATTCCCTGTCAATGTGGCCTACATGTATATATGTTTTCTACTGAAGATACAGGTTCCTGTTATTAATATATGGAAAGAATCAAGGAAACATACATTTGATGAACATACCACAGTGCTTATTATAGTCAGAGAAGTGTGTTAATCAATAGGCAATTGAAACACTTGCTATTGACAATGGGTGACAAAAAAGGCTATATCTATGGATTGGCTTAATTGTTTAAGTGAACACGACCTAAGTTTGAGAATGAGAGGACAGACGGTGCAATCTTCACTGGAATGATTTCTTAGAATCTAGAGGCAGGAATGATGGGGTGGGAGAACGCTATTAACCAATGCTCCATTTTTCCATCTAACAATATTTTTTCATTCTTTCTTATCCACTGGTGCCAGACTTGCCTTAAATACATTCTTTTGAAATTGTGTATACTTAAAGAATGTCTTATACCTAGTACTGATGTCATTGAATTTACCAGTTCATATTTCTAGGCTTAGGGTTAGGATTAGCAATTTACCAGTGCATATTTATGACTCATATTGAAATGAGGCATACATTTGACCCTTTTGGCTTAACAAGGGCTACCAGTAAATGCAGCTCCATTACCAAGCAACGAGGTTTGTCTTTTATTCTCTAGATGTCAAATTTCTCATCAGCTTGGAGTGGAGGTGAGAAGGGGCACTGATAGGTGTTAGTAAGGTGGCCCTTATTACCAGATTTGTGGGCGATTGATATAGCTGCTGAGTTTAAAGCCAACTTTAGGTGGAAGAAAATGTAATAAGTTGAAATGGGAGATACAACAAATGGAAAAGATACTTGTAAAAGGATTAATATTCCAAGGAAGGCTGCATCTACAAATTAAACCATGAGCATGTCAGCACAAGACAACAAAACTCTTAGTTATTCTCTCAGATCTGACAATGACCAATGGAAAGTTGTAGGAGAAACTTCAGGACTTGTTATTCTCACAGAAGAAACATTGAACTCATGTTCATCATGCCACAGCAACAACATATATGATGACTTGATCACCACTGGCCCCATTTTTCTAAATATTCTTTGGGTATGTTTTAGGAACTCATCTTGGATACTGAGTAGGACTGAAATAACATTCCTAGAAGGTTGTCAGCATGATGAAAAAGTCTTGCTTGTTAACACAAATAAGGACATAAGTAAGTATCTCTTTTGTAGGAGACTTCCCATGGCTGGAAATAGGTCATGAGAGAAAACAAAACTCTATTTGTATAAATTAATTTATAAGAACTTTAGCAGAGGTCTCAAAAATGGTGGAAAACAACTTATTCATTAAAAAGAAAGGTTATGAGATATCATAATCACTGATGTCTTTATGGTTAGTGACTGTGTGGCTTAGAGAGCCAAAGGAATTTCAAATGTTTGAATAACTATGTTAAACTTAAGTGTAGTGGGACATCAGAGTGAATTGGGGCTTTAATCATTTTTTTCTAATGGTTTGGATATCCCACATAAAAAGGGGTTTTCTTCCCCATCATGCAACTGGGTTTCAGTGATAGAGAGGCAAAACTGTTATTGCTACTGGGTATAGAAGGATTAAGTAAGACACTCACACTGGAAGCTAGTGTTCTACAATGTTTCCTGTGACAAGTGGAATATTGTTATGTCCACAAACAAAATGAATTTCATAATTCACAGAATGATGTCCTTTGGTCAGTATCTCAGTGCGTGGAAGTGTATGGGACATGGAAAAATACTACATTTATCCCTCTGACAAAGGTATATGATGAACAAAGCATTTGATAATTCATTTATAGTATTTAAATTAAAACCAGATTATGTAAATGATAATTTCTCAAGATGAAAAAATATTTTATGTTCTGAATAGAAGTCACCACTTGCTAAAATGCCTCTAGAAACTTTCCAGAGAAGGAAGTAAAGTTGGTCTCATAAAAATTAATGCTGACATTCTTCTGACTTTTTGATATCTTTTACAATCACATCAGTTCCTGCTGCATCAGTGACGATTTTTAATAAAAATAAAAAATGAAATATTTTGTATAAAAATTACACATTCCATAAATACTGACATCAACATACATAGAAAAAGAGATCAAATAACTATGGTAGGTAGGGGAATAAAGATAATTACACTGATAAAATAATATTAAAACAAATCTGGAGTAACATTATGTTTAACAAATTTTGTGAAGAAAAATCTTGTTAAAATTATATGAGTAAAATCCAATTTGTTGTTAGGATGTCAGATTACTCTTTATAGAAAACATGGCACAGAGTATAAGGCAGAATATAGAGATGTAATTTAAAAATATATAGTAGAGATACTGACTAAGCAAGAGGGTAGACTGAGAAGTTAAACAGTTGTTATCTTGTGCATTTTTTTGCATTGCTGGGGAGACACTCCTTGGAATAATAAAAGGCGTGTGCTGGCTCGCGCCTGTAATCCCAGCACTTTGGGAAGTCAAGGCGGGCAGATCATGAAGTCAGGAGTTCGAGGCAAGCCTGACCAACATGGTGAAACCCTGTCTCTACTAAAAATACAAAAAATTAGCCAGGCATGGTGGCATGTGCCTGTAATCCCAGCTACCCAGGAGGCTGAGGCAGGAGAATCACTTGAACCCGGGAGGTGGAGGTTGCAGTGAGTGGAGATCCCACCATTGCAGTTAGCCTGGGTGACAGAGCAAGACTCTGTCTCAAAAAAAAAAAAAAAAAAAAAAAAAAGGTATGTGCATATGATCTAATCTCCTCGTAACCATGCTCAGAATAGATGTCCTAAAAACAAACTAATGGTATTTAGTAGGAGGAGAATACTTACCTTTAGATGCTTTAGTGGAATGTCCCCACTTTAGGGTTGCTTTTGATAATTAAATCAAGAATCTGTGATTAATTTGGCATACTCCCTGGAAAACGTCGCATAAGCTATATAAGTATAAAATGGAGATGTTTCATAACCTAAATATATTTTCTAAAGCAAGTGACTGCCCATCTTACTTGGGGACCTGTTCTTTACATGCCAGTGGAGAGTACATTCTACAGAGATCTGGGGAGCCACACAGAATATTCTGAGTTTTTTCCTATATATTTTTCTCTGGATTGTATATCCTTGAAATCATTAAGTAAGTTTTATGTTGGGTAGTATCTCTGATCCAAGTGAGTCTGATTTAACAATAGTTACTCACTTGTCTTAGCGTAGAAGGAAAGGACAGTTATTTATAATTTAATCAGAGATATCCTCAGGTTGTTTTCACAGATTTCTCTTTTCTTGGCACAAATGTGCCCATAACACTTTCTTCTTCAACATGTATGCTATGGCTCACATGTTTGTCCCCTTTCAACACTCATGTTAAAATTTATTTTATTTTATTTTATTTTATTTTATTTTATTTTATTTTATTTTATTTTATGACAGAGTATTGCTCTGTTGCCCAGGCTGGAGTGCAGTGGCGCGATGTTGGCTCACTGCAACCTCCGCCTCTCGGGTTCAAGCCTCCCTAGTGGCTGAGATGACAGGTGCCTGTCACCACACCTGGCTAATTTTTGTATTTTTAGTAGAGACGGGGTTTCACCTTGCTGGCCAGGCTGGTTTCGAATTACTAACCTCAAGTGATCTGCCTGCCTTGGCCTCCTAAAGTGCTGGGATCACAGGCGTGAGCCACCGCGCCCAGACTCATGTTGAAATTTAATTAACTCAATGTGGCAGTATTGAGAGGGAGGTCCCTTAAGAGGTGATTGGGTCGGCCGGGCGTCTTGGCTCACGCCTGTAATCCCAGCACTTTGGGAGGCCGAGGCGGGCAGATCATGAGGTCAGGAGATCGAGACCATCCTGGCTAACACGGTGAAACCCCGTCTCTACTAAAAATACAAAAAAAAAAAAAAAAAAAAAAAAAAAAAAGCCGGGCGTGGTGGGAGGCGCCTGTGGTCCCAGCTACTCGAGAAGCTGAGGCAGGAGAATGGTATGAACCCGGGAGGCAGAGCCTGCAGTGAACTTAGATCGCGCCACTGCACTCCAGCCTGGGCGACAGAGAAAGACTCCGTCTCAAAAAAAAAAAAAAAAAAAAAGAAAGAAAAAAAGAGGTGATTGGGTCATGAGGGCTTGGTCCTCATGAAAAGATGAAAAGTAGTCCTCATGAATAGATGAATCCACTCATGGATTAATGGATTAATGGGTTAATGGACAAATGGTGTATCATGGGATTGATACTGGAGGCTTTATAAGAAAAGGAAGAGAGACCTGAGCTCGGGCTGGGAATCTTGCTGGTTATAAGAATAATTTTCACTGAGTTAAACCAAAAATGTTTCTATTCCAAAAAAAAAAAAAAAAAAAAAGTTTAAAGAGAATACAGTCAAAGTTGAAAAGTGAGTCAATTTTAAAACAGTAAGAAAATTAAAGAATTTCATAATTAGGGAGGATGTTATATAATTGATATTCTACGCAGTAGCAGCATAAAGCACGCTGCCTGCTGTAGTTTCTTCACATTAACTTCAGCGTATCCTACTGAAGGTTTTATCATTCTGGAACATTTTTCTCTATCTTGTATTGTAAAATATTAAAGTTCATATTTAGCAATATATCAAACACTCTTCTTTAGAAAACCTAATGAGCCAACCATTTGACACATACAGATTATACTCTAATTTTGATTTAATTATTATTTAGTGGATTGAAAATGTAACTATTATTCTATTAAATATTTCTCTATTGTGCTACAAAAATATTTTCTAAAAACAAACTAAAACTTAGGCACTTGTACACTACAATTGTAATCATAATGCATTTTCTCCTAGACATTACCATAGATATTGCTTTAGTGAATTTGTTATTATACCAAAATAAAAATCCATATTCTCGTTTTCTATTTACACTTTCTCCCTAAGTCGTTTAACCAGTCAAATGACAAGACAACCATGTGTAATGGCTCTCACAACCACATCTCTATCCTGACTGTTCAACTGATTTTTTTGAATCCAATATTTAAATGCCTGCCTTGCATTCCCAACAATGTCAAATGAGCCATTTAAAATTTTATATGGAAAATTATCTATTTCTCTCCAAGTCTTCCACTACACATGCCTATACCTTTTGTTTCCTCTCTCTCATCCCTTCATTCCATCCATCAGAAAGTTCTGTATCTTAATCTCTTCTTCTAACATTTAAGTGCAAGCCACCACTGTTGACCACCTGAATTATTTCAATGGCTTCCTAAAAACCAGGCTCCCTAAGCCTCTCTCTCCTTTAGAATCCATGTTCCACAAAACAACCAGAATGATCCTTTTCAAAATATGAATCAGTTTTTAGAATTACTTGCTTAAAATGCACCCATAGCTTTTCTGTATACTATATGAAACATAAAACACACACACACACATAGATCAAAAAAATAAATAAGTGAATAAATAAAAAACAGAAGATTACCATGGATTCCAAAAACTTACATGAGTTTGGCTATTATCTACCTTTCCAAACTTACCTGGTCATTATTTCTCTGCTCGGTCATTAAACTACATCCATAATGGCTTTTGTTCTTTACCATGTATCTCAATGTAATTTGGTACAACTTCTTTAATTCAGAGTGACAGCTGGATTACCAGGTCTCTGTTGGAATTTTATCATGAAAGGTATTTAAATAAAGATTTTTCTGACTATTTAATGTTCATTTCTTTCTGTAAGTGTATAAATTTCAACTACCAACAATGCTTCCCATGCTTCCTTCATTTGTGATTGTCAATTTTAATATTAATCCTAACTGCAGTTTTGCACATTTTTAAAGCTTTTCGCTATTATACAGCCTTTCTTTTTTTTTTTTTTGAGACATAGTCTCGCTCTGTTGCCCAGGCTGGAGTGCAGTGGCGCCATCTCGGCTCACTGCAAGCTTCGCCTCCCGGGTTCACGCCATTCGCCTGCCTCAGCCTCCCGAGTAGCTGGCACTACAGGTGCCCGCCACTACACCCAGCTAATTTTTTGTATTTTCAGTAGAGACGGGGTTTCACCGTGTTAGCCAGGATGGTCTCAATCTCCTGACCTCGTGATCCGCCTGTCTCGGCCTCCTAAAGTGCAGGGATTACAGGCGTGAGCCACCGCGCCCAGCTCTATAACAGCCTTTTTTTTATTCTTGAAAAAAAACAAATTACCACCATTTGGTTTTAAGAACTCCCCTATTGTGGTGAAGATAATGGTAGAAATTAAAGTGTAAAAATATAAACTAAAATAAATCTAACAAAATTGCAAAATATTAAATGCAGACTGTGTCACGTATGTCATCATAAGATTCAACATAAATAATTTATAGTGGGCCAGGTGTGGTGGCTTATACCTGTAATCCCCACAATTTAGGAGAGTCTGAGGTGGGAGGACTGCTTCAGCCTGGGATGTTGAGGCTGTATTGGCCTGTGGTTGTACCACTACACACCAGCCTGGCAACAGAATGAGAACATTACTCAAAAAAAGTTAAATTTAAAAAATTTTTCATAGATTGTTTAGATGTCATCCTAATAAGCTGTTACTCACTGTAACTTAAAACCAAGAATCTCCATATACTATTTCTCAACTCTTCTTTTCCAGTTTTCTTTTCAAATATTGGACCCCACTATCTGAAATGTTTTATCTCCTCTTCTTTCATAAATTTCTGGTATTTCAAGGAAATGTTAAATGTAGCAATCATGAGAATCCCTTATTTATGTCCTGGATAAATTTCCTACTGGTTCTGTAACAAGCAACCACAACCTTTGTGTCCTAAGGCAACATAAGTGTGTTATCTTGCAATCCTCCTGGTCTGACAAGTGTAAATAAATTAAAATCAAGTTATCAGCAGGGCCACATTCCTTTCCTCAGGGCTCAAGGGGAGAATTCATTTCCATGCCTTTTTAAGTTTTTTGGGGCTGCCTGAATTCCTTGGCTCGTAGCCCCATTCTAAAACCAGCAAGGGCAGGTCCAGTAATTTTCACGTGATATCTCTCAGATGTTTCTGTTGTGGCAGTATCTCTCTCTCTCTCTCTCTCTCTCTCTCTCTCTGTGTGTGTTTCTCATTATTTCAATTTCAGCTGACTACCAATATCAATTCCCTTTTGTTATAAATGGCACTAGAGACACAGATTCCGGGATTTAGGACATGGGCGTATTTAGGAGCCATCATTCATCTTATCACATATCTTCACAGTTTCTCACTGCAGTCTTTCTACACTTAGCAGATGTACTACTCATATACTGTGCACTAGGCTAAACGGAACATCAGTATAGGATAGTGGTTAAATGCATGTTGATCAGAGGCAGACAGAATGGAATCAAATCCTAGGTCTGCAAATTCACACCAATGTGATTTGAGAGAATAATTTAACCTTTTTATATCACCATCCTAGTGTTTGAAAGTGAGTTTCTTCCAAAACTTACACTAAAATTTAATTGCCATTTTAACAGTATTAAGACAGGAGAACTGTAAGAGATACTTAGGCCACGAAGTTTCTGCCCTTGTTGAGGGGGTTGGTACTTGATAAGATTTGGCTGTGTCCCCACCCAAATCTCATTTGGAATTGTAGCTGTCATAATTCCCATGTGTCTTGGGAGGGAACTGGTGGAAGATAATTGAATCATGGGGACAGGTCTTTCCTGTGTTGTTCTTGGGATGGTGAATAAGTCTCACGAGATCTGAATTCCCCTGCACAAATTCTCTTCTCTTGTCTGCTGCTTTTTACCTTCTGCCATGATTGTGAGGCTTCCTAAGCCACGTGGAACTTTGAGTCCATTAAACCTCTTTTTTTTCTTTTTGTAAATTGCCCAGTCTCTGGTATGTCTTTATCAGCAGTGTGAAAATGGACTAACATAGTACTGTTATAAAAGACCAAGTTGGTATTAGTCTAGAAGGAAAAGAAAGTACTTATCATTCTTTAATCAGAGACATCCTAAGGCTGTTTTCACAGATATCACTTTTCTTGGGTCAAATATGCTCACAAAGATTTCATCTTCAACATATAGGCTATGGTTTGAATATTTGTTCCCTCAAAAGTCATGTTGAAATGTAATCTCTGGTGTGTCTGTATTAGCCCCCTGCCACCCTCCACAGACCCCACAGGCTTTCTGCTTTCCACCATGGCATGACACAGAGAGAAGATCCTTACAGGATGGTAGCACCTTGATACTGGATTTCCTGGCCTCCAATATCAAATTTATTAAGCTAATACATCTCTATTGATTAGAAATTACCCAGTTTCAGTCATGCTGTTATGGGATCACAGATTAGACTGACACTCCCTTTTCTCCATAAAATCATCATCATAATAGCAATCACTATTATTACTAGGGATTATATTTGTTAAAATATATAAACATTAAGAATAGTGTCTGGGTCATGGTTGTACTCAACAGTATTAGAGATAGTCATTAGCATATTGCAATGCAGTTGTCTTTCCATGTGCTTTTTTTTTTTTTCATTTCACTTTGGCCATTTAATTACTTTGATACCCTGAGTATTTATTTTTTAATTTTTTTCTACAATATTATAATAGAATTAATAGAATATTATGATAGAATATACCCCTGATTTTTATGTATTTTCCTGCACCATCAATAATTTCTTTTGGGGGTTAAATTTTAATACCTCATTTTTGATTTTTGTCTAAAATACTAAAGGAAATAAAAGACTATGAATTTTTTAATCACATTTGTTGTAGGAGTGCTGTGAAGGCATTTTGTATGTTATTATTGAGAAGCATTTATATATAATCCAGATGAGAAATGTTTTAAAAAATCATAGGCTGTAAATAATAAAATCTAGTTATTGAAAATTATCTTTGGCAGGGCCTGGTGGCTCACATCTGTAATCGTAGCACTTTGGGAGGCCAAGGCGGGCAGATCACCTGAGGTCAGGAGTTCCAGACAAGCCTGGCCAACATGGTGAAACCCTGTCTCTACTAAAAATACAAAAATTAGCCGGGCGTGGAGGTATGCGCCTGTAATCCCAGTTACTCAGGAGGCTGAGGAAGGAGAATTGCTTGAACTTGGGAGGTGGAGGTTGCAGTGAGCTGAGATCATGCCACTGCACTCCAGCCTGGGGAACAGAAGAGACGGTCTCAAAAAAAAAAATCTTTATTTCTTGTTGAATTAATATTTCTTTGAATATTTTGAATTACATGCTATTTTCTTTGGTGGCAAATTTGATGCACAATAATAGGTATAATGCAGATTCCATGGTATAAAAATGTATGCTTTCTTTACCACAAATTAATTAATATTTTCTGGCACTGCTTATATTTCAAACAAATTAACCATTATTTTATATACGGATTCTATTTAAATATTATCTCAATGTTATTGTGAGACTTCTGATTTAAAATGACAGATGAAGCAAACAAAGTTAGTCTCCCATTCAGTTTCACATTTATTGGAATATAAAAAAATTACAGTAAATTCCTTCATAATAATTTTAAGAAGAAATTCTAGCAAGTTCCTGGAGAGGAGCAAATGGGTGAGACTTACTAATACATGATTCAGAGGAAAGAGACAAAAGATTCAGAAAACAACAACAGCAACAAAGAATACTTGAGTGAGGAATGGAAGAGTCTTTATTTTGCTGTTAAGTACATGTGAATCTCTGAGGTGAGCAGCAGAGGAGAGTGAAAATGAGAAGAAAATGAACATTAGTGGACATTAACCAAAGAACCTTCTGTACACGGCACCTTTGGTTGGATTCTATTACTCATCTTCCCCAAACCAACATTGTGAAAGAGACGGTTTGTATCCAAATTGAAATAAGGCATATGCTTTCTGAGAAAATCAGAAACATATCTTACACAAGTCTTTCTTGTTGGTTTAACTAAACGATGACCTCCCCGTTTGCCTGCCTGATCTCTCTGCGTGCCTCCTGAGATAAAGTCTGTCATTCCACAGGCACCTTTAAGGCACACAAAGCTGAAGTTCAGCGGTAAGTCAGAAGAAGTGGCAGTAATATCAGTTATAGATATAAACAGACAAAAAAATTATCATGATATATTTGACGAAAACTGGCGACCTGTGAATAATTTTATATTAAAAAATAAACCAAGAAGACACTGCCTCAGTACAAGAAAAAGTTGTTTTAAACAAATTCTAGATTGTGTGCTTAGTATACGCAGAAATAATTTACATTCATTTATGTAAAAGAATTCACTGTAAAAGAAGGATAAAAATAAATGGAGATCTAGAAATGCTTTATCTAATAAAAAGCATGCAGAAATATTAATAAGAATGACTGGACAAAAATAAGGATATAAATAAAATGATGGCAATAATTAACTCAAAATAGATCAATGGCCTATGTTTAAGAACTACAAATTCAAAACTCTTAGGAGAAAACATAAAGGTAAATCTTCATGACCTGAATTTGGCAATATATTCTTAGTATGATGTCAAAAACACAAACAACAAAAGACAATATAGGTAAATTGGACTTCATAAAAACAAACTATTGTACATCAAAAGACACTACCAAAAAGATAAATAGATAACTTTCATAATAAGAAGAATTATTTGCAAAACATATATCTTACAAGTGTTTAGGATTCATAATATATAAAGAACTCTTAGAACTCAAGAACAAAAAGACAACACCATTTTTATACAAATGAATAAATGGCTTGAAAATAAATTTCCTCAGAGAAAATATACAAATGGCCAACAAACATATAAAAAATGCTCTATGAGATTAGTCATTAGGTCAATGCTAAACAAAACCAAATTGAGATACCACTCCACAGTGAATAGAGTAGGCATATTTTAAAAATGGGAACTAGTAAGTCTAGGCAAGGTTGTAGAGAAATTGGAATACTCATATATTGCTGGTAGGCATATAAGTGGGTGCAACCACTGGTGAAAAACAGGTTGATGGTACCTCAAAAAGTTAAACAGAATTATTATATGACTCAGCAATTCTACTTCTTCTTATTTACCCCAAATAATTGAAAATATGTTTTCACACGAATACTTGTATGTAAATGTTCAAAGCTGCCTTATTTATAATAGCCAAAGGAAGAAACCAAAGATCTATCAATGGATGAATGGCTGAACAAAATGCAATGTATCAATTTATACAATGGAATATTACTCAACCTTAAAAATAAAGTACTGATACAACACAGAGTGTTGATAAACCTCAAAAACGTTTTGCTAAGTGAAAGAAGCCAGTAGCAAAAGGTCACCTAATGTATGATTTTTTTATATAACATATAAAATAAATACAAAATATCCAGAATAGGTAAATACATTGTGGCAGAAAACAGATTAGTGATTGTCAGTGTTCGGGAACTGGGGTACTAGGGCATGATTATTTAATGTGTATAGGGTTTCTTTTGGGGTGATGAAAATGTTTTGGAAATAAATAGTGGTGTAAGTTGATCACCATTGAAAATGTACTAAATTCCACTGAATAGTGCACTTCAAAATGGTTAATTTTATGTTAATAACACCTCAAAAAGTAAATTTATGTAACATAGGAATTTGGATCGTCTTTAATTCTTTTTCTCTTCTATTATGAAATTGCAAAATACTATGTAAACAGAAGACATCCTAAATGTTTTCAGAGAGAAAAAAACAAGAAAATCACCTGTCCAGGAATGTGTATTATCTGAACAATAGACTTTCTAGCAATGACCTCGGACACTGAAATATAAAGAAATGATCAATGCTGGTCATGTTCTAAGGATACATTATTTTTAAACTTCAATTCCATAATCTAAAAATTATGAATTAAATGCGTAGATAAAATCAAGAGTTTACCTCCCATATGCTGCTTCTAAAATAACCGAAAGGTTTAGACAACATAAAACTTTCCAATCACTAGTATGCTTACGATACTAAAGGTTTTCTGTTGAGGATAGCATTTTCACATTTCTACATATAAAGACAATCAGTTACTTTGAAAATAAAAATCTCTGGATAGTATTCAGAGTTCAATTAGAAAACAAACAAAAAAGTAACATGATTTTAGATTAAAGAAGAAAATTCCTATGATCTTGAAGCTTTGACTGCTTTCATTTAAGTCATTTAGGCAACACCATTTTACTGAAAATGTATGATAATACAATGATAACACTTTATATGCACTAGTATATACTAAATAAATTTAGATAATTATAATTGTAAATCTTATTTAATATGTTGTTCTTTTCTAGAATCTTTCAGTAGCATATGAAATAATTATAAAAATAAATTAGGTAAAAGTTTTCATTGTAAAAGTAATTCTATCCACACTGAAAATCTGGGCATCCTCGGGATTTTATTTTCATATGCATGTGTATTTTACTACTAACAATAATACTTTAAAACATATAAATTACTTTGTATAACTACTAAATCTTTTGTAAAGCAAAAAGTAAACACCAAATCAAAAGTGCATGCACATTTGACTCCCAATTTATGCTTTGGTAAGATAACTTGATTTCAATGGCTGGAAAGTAGAGTCCTTCCTCTCTTCTTGCTCCTTGTCCTCCTTCTCTTAAAGTTGATTGCCCATTTCTCAGGCCATCATGGATTAACATTGATTGATAGTCATTAATTTTATTTCCTATGTATTTTAAGCTGACAAATACAATCTGTATATATTTATGGTAAGCAACAAGGTGTTTTGATACGTGCATACACTGTGGAATGACTAAATCAAGCTAATGAACATATGCACATACTTACCATTTTTTGTGAAGAAAACACTCAGAATCTACTCTTTCAGCAATTTTTAAGTATGCAACATGTTATTATCAGCTATAGTTACCATATTGTGCACTAGATCTTTTGAATTTATTCTTCCTAAATAAAATTTTGTATTCTTGGGCCAACATCTCCCCAATCACCCCTCAATGGTTATAATTTTTAAAATATATACTATAGCTTCAATTGTAAATGGAGTATGAGTTGGTATAATCTGACCTCTTAAAATTATGGATAGAATTGCATAAACTCTTTCTATGTCTCATTGAATTACAAAGTCCTCTTCATTAGCTAAACAAGCACCTAGGATACCTATATTCTATCACTTTTCCTCATCTTGGTTGTTTTCCATGTAATTCCAAATATTTTAATTTAAAAATAAATAAACAAAATAAAAAAACTAATCCATTTAATTTCCACTCAAACCAACCAATTAACCTACCAACCTGTATGCAATTTTAATTGTGTTGTAGGAGATCATATTTATTATATGAAAGACTTAGCATGCAGTTTCGTCACCACCCATAAACCTAGCACCATGAGTGCATTATCCAGAAGCCCCCTTTTTTTTAAATTGTCATACTTTAAGTTCTGGGATACATGTGCACAACGTGCAGGTTTCTTACATAGGTGTACACGTGTCATGTTGGTTTGCCACACCCATCAACTCATCATTTACATTAGGTATTTCTCCTAATGCTATCCCTTCCCTCGCCCCCAACTCCCCAACAAGCCCTGGTGTGTGATGTCGCCCTCCCTGTGTCCATGTGTTCTCATTGTTAAACTCCCACTTTTGAGTGAGAACATGCGGTGTTTGTTTTTCAGTTCTTGTGTTATTTTGCTGATAATGATGGTTTCCAGCATCATCTATGTCCCTGCAAAGGACATAAACTCATCCTTTTTATGGCTTCATAGTATTCCATGGTGTATATTTGGCACATTTTCTTTATCCAGTCTATCATTGATGGGCATTTCTGTTGGTTCCGTCTTTGCTGTTGTGAACAGTGCCACAATAAACATACTTGTGCATGTGTCTTTATAGTAGAATGATTTATAATCCTTTGGGTATATACCCAGTAATGGGATTGCTGGGTCAAATGATATTTCTAGTTCTAGATCCTTGAGGAATCGCCACAGTCTTCCACAATGGTTGAATTAATTTACACTCGCGCCAACAGTGTAAAAGCATTCCTATTTCTCCACATCATCTCCAGCATCTGATGTTTCCTGACTTTTTAATGACCACCATTCTAACTGGTGTGAGTGGTATCTCATTGTGGTTTTGATTTGCATTTCTCTAATGCCCAGTGATGATGAGCATTTTTTTGTAAGTTTGTTGGCTGCATAAATGTCTTCTTTTGAGAAGCGTCTGTTGAAGCCCTTTTTACTAACAACCTGAAGTTTTCTTACTGACTCTCACTCTCATGCCTCTCCACAGAAAGAGGTGACAGTCTTCTGTCACTGTAGTCTTCTTTTTATTTTATTTTATTTTATTATACTTTAAGTTCTAGAGTACATGTGTTCTGTTCTCTTCTGTTGTGCTGCCTTCCCGTCAGATAAAAATAACGTTTCTCATTTTAACTATTTTTTGTTGGTTTAGATCCTGCTCACCTCCTCAAGATGTCATTCTCTAATTAGTTTATCAATTTTTAAACCAAAATTTTCTTAATAAAAGGAACCCTCCTGATAACCAACTCAATATATTTTCCTACAGAAAAATTTATTCTCTTGAACACATTTACCTTCACAGTGGTTTTATAAAACTATAAAAGAATGTTAAAAAATAACCCATGTTAGCATTAAACAAGTTCAAAAACAATTATTATGATGCAGATAAATACTGAGTTATTATTAATCAGAACTTATTAAATCGCATTAGAATTAATCACATAGAAATAACGGTAATAAAACATGCATTTAGACCTTTGCCCTTTTAGAGAAACAGTGCTAGTTTTGCCTGGAGGAAAATGTAAAGGCAGTGCAGTAAAAACAGTAAAATAATGTACCTCCTAGAAGGATAGCAGTGGATCTAGCTTCTGGCTCTAATCCCCTTTGAGGTGCGAAATTGGACTAGTTTTTAGTTGATTTTGTGTAAGTCAATTATGTCTGAGACTCTCAAAATGTATATAGAAAATAGAGTTAATTATAAAGGTATCAAATGCCAATTATATCTGTTTTGGTTTATGATGATAGCAATTGTTCATTGTGGATATTTCAGCCCATCGAGAACATTTTTTATAACTTATTGAAAAGTTGTAAAATTAGCACCAAATGAATACATAAGTGAGTAAATAAAATAATAGCCACCATTGACCTTCTTTCAAAAGGTTCCGAGATAGAGAAACTTGGGAGATTTTACTTCATTATTTTGTATACTTTTCCTAGAAAAATGAGCACAAATTCAAATGGACCCTTACCATATAATCTGCGAACATTAGTGCACATTGGTGATTATGCCTTTGGCCTTCTTTAAAAAAAAAGATACATCATTTCAATGGATATTATGATGTAATTCCCAGAGATTAGGAAACTGGATGAATGTTAATTGAATCACAAAATAAGGGGGAAAATGTATCTTTAATTGGAATGTATAGGTTAATAGAAAGAAATAACACTGATATGGAGTTTGAAAAGCTTTCACAAGACTACTATGATCTTAGAAAAAACAATTAATCTATGTTTCTAACTTAAAGAGCTTTTACCAAATTATATGTGAGGTCCAAGGCAGATTTAACATTAACCTTTTCCATAAAATAAAAAAGAAAATATGAGTGCTCATGTTAAATATAATAAAAAATTGTGAAGAGTATTTTCACAAGCTCTATAATAAAGCTCTCATACTGTTTTATACTTTATTGTTTTGTTCAAGAAAAGACTCTTATCTTCACAAAACTTACATTCAGTAGAAAGCAAGACTCTATGCTGATTAATACACACACACACACACACATACACACACAAGCACACGCATTCATGGTAGAACATGGGGAAATATTTTTCAATTCTATATTTCACTAAAGCCAGGTTTCTAAGACCACCAAAAAGAAACAGTTGTTTCTACTCTCTAAGACTTTGCTTCACTGAGTTATGGTGTGTCCTTTCTCAATGAATGAATAGAATGTAAAATCATAAAATGTGTACAACTATAAATCATGTGTTGTTATATCTCTTTTCTCAGGAAAATTAAGTGTGTCGATTGACTGGTAGTAGTAGTACTACTAAATTTCCACTCAACCAACCAATGAACCAACCAACCTATATGCAGTTTGTATTGTGTTGTAGGAGATCATATTTATTATATGAAAGACTTAGCACGCAGTTTCATCACCACTCATAAACCTAGCACTATGAGTGCATTATCTTGAAGCCCTTTTTTTAATTGTTATACTTTAAGTTCTGGGGTACATTTGGACAACGTGCAGGTTTGTTACATAGGTATACACTTGCCATGTTGGTTTGCTGCACCCATCAACTCTTCATTATATTAGATAATTCTCCTAATGCTATCCCACCTGCCCCACCCCCACCACCCCCCAACAGGCCCCAGTGTGTGAGTTTCCCCTCCCTGTGTCCATGTGTTCTCATTGTTCATCTCCTGCTTATGAGTGAGAACATGTGGTGTTTGATTTTGCTTTCATGAATCTAACACCTTTTCTAAACACCTTTTCTATATACTGTTATACTTAAGCATCTGGAATTATTTTTCCCTTAAAAATAATTAAAACAGCTCTTAATTTATCAAAATTTCAAATGCTTATGTCTGTGGTAAAAACTTCCAACTACTAACTTTTATTCTTATTGGTCTCTTACTGATTTTACAAGGGACAGACGCTGAGTAGATTCATCAATTACTACAAGACTTTCAGAATATCATTTTCCTGTAATATCCCCTCTTAATAGAACAATTAAGTTATTCTATCAAAAAAATGAAATCTTTTAAAATTAAAACACTCACATGCCATTAATAATGATATTTACACAGGCCAAATCTATTAAATAGCTTCTTGTATTTCATCCTTAAAATATTTCTGGCTGGGCACAGTAGCTTGCACCTGTAATCCCAGCACTTTGGGAGGCTGAGGTGGGCAGATTACCTGAGGTCAGGAGTTCACAACCTGCCTGGCCAACATAGTGAAACCCCATCTCTAGTAATAATACAAAAATTAGTCAGGCGTGGTGGCGGGTGCCTGTAATCCCAGCTACTCGGGAGGCTGAGGCAGGAGAATCACTTGAACCTGAGAGGCAGAGGTTACAGTGAGTGGAGATCATGCCATTGGAATCCAGCGTGCATGACAGAGTGAGACTCTGTCTTAATAATAATAATAATAATAATAATAATAAATATTTCTCTTTAACAGCTGGTGATACATTTATGAGCTTTATGAACAGGAAACAAAAATTGGACAACTAGAAACTACATTAATTATTTTAGCCTAATTATCTGATCATTTCTGGGTTTTACCCAAGAAATGAAGAACACAGAGTGACAGTAAGAGCCAGAGTACTAGATTACTTTGGTCCGTTTTTGCCCCAAGATGTATATAGTACAGATTCACAAGCATTGCAACAGTGATAGCAAAAAACATCAAACTCATAGACATTAAATTAGTCTATGAAAATATAGAATAGAAAGGAAAACACTTTCTACTTTCACAAGCATTAAAAATGTTGAATAATCACATCCAACTTTTTGATGAACTTATGTTATATTATATAGTATTTTTCACAATGGAAATTTGAGGCTATAAACCTGTGTGTTCTAATCAACCTAAGCTCCCTTTCTGAACTAGGCACTTATTTCCCCAGCTTCACTGTTGTGCTTCTCTTCAGTCATTGCTATTGAGGGAAAGGGAGCCATTTCACCCAAGCCCTGCCCTGGAGTTCCTCATATCCAGTGGCTGATTGATTCAGGATGCAAAGGGCCGGTCTCCGTGTCTAAATTTGGGGCAGCTCTGTAAAGCAATTCCAGCCCTGAAGTTCCTCATGAGATTGACTCTGGCAAGTGTATTACATTTTGACTTCTCTCTCTGTCCAGTCCTGACCCCTGCAGTGCCTCACAGGTCTTGTTCCAAGAAGGCTCTAATAAAACTCCCTCTTGCAAATCTCGGCCTCAACATCTGCCTCCCAGGGAACAATCAATCTAAATTGCAACCGTTATTCAAACTATTCTTCTGAACACAGGTCACCCAATCTCTTGTAATTATATTTGCAAATAATAAAAATACTTTATTGGCATGGTTGTAACCTAAAGCATCATTTTTTTTCCTTTTTACTTTTCCTACAATAAATGAGGTGTCTCTATTAGCTTTCTTCAAGTTTTCTTCTAATACTCCTTAGAGATTTCTTCACAATTTGCCTTCTACTCACAACAGTAAAATGTTCTTTCAGAGTTAACAAACTCAATATTTATCTTCGTCTAGTTGAATGAATAACACACATTTATAGCAAATTATTCTTGCTTAAGCTCTGTGATATTACATTCTTCTGATTCCCTTATACCCTTTTCTCATCTTCACTTCTTATGCTCTTTTAGGAATTACTAGTTCTTTTTCTGCTCCCCAAACATAAATCCTCAGTGGTCAGTCTATCTTCTATTGACTTGTCATTTCTTCCATTGTCTACTTGTGTCTCATCTTCTCTCTGCTTTAAAAAATGTTTTTAAGTGTATTTATTTATTTATTCATTTTGTGACAGGATCTCACTCTGTTGCCCAGGCTGGAGTGCAGTGGTGAGATCACAGCTCGTTGCAGCCTGGATCTCCCAAGCTTAAGCGATCCTCTCACCTCAGCCTTCCAAGTAGCTGGGACCACATACATGCCACACCACGCCTGGCTAATTTTTTATTTTATTTTTATTTTATTTTATTTTTTTGTGGATACAGGTTCTCACTACCTTTCCCAGGTTGGTCTTAAACTGCTAGGCTCAGGTGATCCTCCTGCCTATACCTCCCGAAATGCTGGGATTGCAGGCATAAGCCACTGCACCTGGCTTGTCTTTTCTTCTATCCTTTTCTCTTTTCCTCCCAAACTTGTTGCTCTGGTAATTTAATTCTCACCAGTGTCATCAAACACTATATTTATCTAAGTTTTTCTAAAACAGTAGACTTGCTCATGAGTTTCAGGACCAGGAGTCTGTTGGACTTCTGCCTGGATTACTCCTCTGGAAATTAAAATTATATCAATCCAAATTTAAAGTAATTTTAAGTTAATATTGTTAGAGAAGTTATTTAATTACTGTAATTACCAGTCTCATCAGAAAGAGTATTTATGAATGTATTCACTTATTAACTATCAAAATATATTCTAGGTACTTTTTTAGATACTAGAAATATAGCAATAAGCCACACAAATAAAAATGCCTGATGAATAGAGCTTACATTCTAGATGTACTCACAACATCCTATTTTAAGTTACAAACATTCCTGTGAACATCAATTTTTTACACCTTTTTTTTTCAATGCTAGGTCTTCCTCTGTCACCCAGGCTGGAGTATAGTGGCACAACCATAGCTCACTGTAACAGCAAATTCCTGGGCTCAAGCAAGCCTCCCACCTCAGCCTCCCAAGTAGCTGGGACTACAGATGTCAGGTGCCACTATGTCTGGCTAACTTTTTCTTTTTTAAAATTTTTTGCAGAGATGAAGTCTTCCTATGTTGCCCAGGCTGGTCTTGAACTCTTGGCCTCAAGCGATTCTCTCATCTCTGCCTCCCAAAATGCTGTGATTACAAACATGAGCCACTGTATGTACCTACTTTTCAAATATCATAATCTTTTTTGCATCATCATTTATTAAAAGTTTTAGAACCTATTGTATTTCAGTAACTATGCTCTACATTATATTTGCAGAGATAACACAAAAATTAATTTAATGGAATTCACATTTTAGTTGGATGTTAAACATCCAAACAAAAGAACTACAGAGTGCTGTTACTAAAGTATATACAGAAATAAATTCAGGAAAGAGAAGAAATCCAGAGACGATTACAGGGAAACGTTTCTGGAATTGATGGTGTCTGAGGTATTTTTATTTTTATTTTTTTTGAGACAGAGTCTTGCTCTGTTGCCCAGGCTGGAGTGCAGTGGCGCAATCTCGGCTCACTGCAACCTCCACATCTCAGGTTCAAGCGATTCTCCAGCCTCAGCCTCCTGAGTAGCTGGGACTATAGGAGCGCATCACCACACCCAGCTGATTTTTGTATTTTTAGTAGAGATGGTGTTTCATCATGTTGGCCAGGCTGGTCTTGAACTCTTGACCTCAGGAGATCCACCCACCTCGGCCTCTCAAAGTTCTGAGGGTACATTTTTAAAAATGAATAGTTATTATCTCAAGTAAATGGCAAGCCAAATGGGTGGAGACTGTCCATGGCATTTAAAAATCAACAAATTAGAAAATCCCCAGAAGTATGAGAAGCATGGTATGATATTAATATAATAAGCATTTCAGTATGGTTGGGGGGCAAATCTTTGGCAAGGGAAGCTTCTAGAATTCAAAGAGGGAGATGGTGCCATATTTAAACTGTTTTCATGCCTTCAAAATGGATAGAAGTATTAGTACTGTTCCTTAATATAAAAGCAATATGCAAATATGGTAAATAATTAAGATACTAAACATGTATATAATGCAAAGTTAATACATCTGTCCAGTTGATCCCATCTGTCCTCACCTCACTGAACTGAAACACACAGTCTGATATATCAGAGGTTATAAATATGTAGCTATTAGCTGACGTTTGCCCTCCTAAAACCTCAAATCCCTTGCACTTTTCTTTTTACTAAACAATTTGTCTCAGAAAGATCCTCATATCATTTATGTAGTTCTATATATTCATTTTCCACAGTGAAGAAATTTTTCATTCTTTTCAAACAATCTTCAATGAACTGATAGGAGGTTCCTTTGTTATTATCACTAGCTATTTTATTGAGTACAATAATGGATATTCTTGTACATGTATTTTCACATATATCTAAGAATATATCCGCTGAATAAATCTGTAGTTGGAGAATTGTCCAAAGTATAAACTATTATTTTATGTTTTGTTATTTTTGGATACTCTAGCTAAAATGTACTTCATAATCCCCTGCCAAGTATTAAATTCCTTTATTTTACAAGACTGATTGGAGAAGAACTACATTTCACTATTGTTTTAATATTATTATTGTCATTGTGAGTGAAGCCAAAAATCTGTTCATATGTTAATTGATCAGAAAACGATGATGATCATTTCAAATGTTTGAAAAATCAGTGTGATAAATTGAATCATGGAAATAAGGCAAAATTAAGGAGCCTATTTTTGTAGGTTTTGAAATAAAATT
The DNA here is from genome assembly GCF_000001405.40 of Homo sapiens. NCBI lineage: Eukaryota > Metazoa > Chordata > Mammalia > Primates > Hominidae > Homo > Homo sapiens. The sequence goes on from NC_000005.10 coordinate 26,969,576, forward strand.
ATGTTTTCCTTTGTTAATATGTTCCTGCTCTCAATGCCACTGGACTCTAAGATTCTTGTAAATATTTGTTGTGAAACTGAAATGTCACAGAGAAGGGCTTAAAACTAACATATTTAATCCATAGCTGTATAGTTTGATTGCACTGGTATTGATACTTCAATAACTCACAAGCTTTTTTCCCTGATATCAATGTTCATTAATTCTGTTGATTCTCTTTTCCTTGTCTTATTGAAAATTGTCATCAAAGATCTTAGATGTTCATTTTCCTTGTCCTTTGCTGATTTTACTGGCTGGTTAAAAAATGTGTGTAACGTGTGTGTATGTCTGTGAGTGCATATGTACAAATATATATATATATATAATATATATACACACATATATACACCCATGCAACTGACCCTGAGTCACCTTATTCTCAATACTTCTTTATACCAAAACCAATTTTAAGTCTAGAAGGTTTATTTTTATATTCTTAAGTTATAGCAAAGTTAACAATATAGTTATGAGATTAATGAATCCAATTAAGTTAAATAAATGGTGTAATTAAGTTAAATATAGTTATTAAATTAATAAAGTTAATGAATATAATTAAAATACTTTAAAAATACCGAATTATAATATTTAACATGAATCTATTTTGTGTTGCTTTTATGAAAGTGTCACCAAACTAAATATTTATTCATTTTCCCCTTCATATATACAGTGTAAATTATAGTTATTGATCTTATTGTTCTTTCTGATCAATTCTTTTTTCAAGTAGCTATGTAAAGAAATGACCATGAGTCACGTTATTTTACAGTAAAGAATAATCCTATTAGGTTTATCTATAGTTTTCTAACAATTTACCTAACATGAGAAATGTGAAGAAAAACAACCTCACTGCATCTATGTATACACATACACATGATTGACATGATTTCATGTATTGCATAAATGTTTCTCCCAATATATTGTTGCTTCATGATCAAGCTTTTTTGTTCAAGTTACATCCTATTTAGCTGACTTGTTAACCTAAAATAAGCATAGAAAATAACTAAATGATTGCAACAACTCCAAAGAAGTTTGATAGAATAATTGAGTATCCCTTGGAATTTATGCAATTGTAATCAGAACCTTCATTGCTCTGCCTTCACTGAATGTTTTTCCATATATTTACATAGGCTAGACCTCATTTATTTTCTTAAAAAAAAAAATCTCATTTTGCAAAACTGACCTTGACCTGTATGCCTGTATAAATATAAATAGACGATTTTTCTTATAAAACTTGCAGGTCCTACAGTGATTCAAATGTCTAGTGTAAATATAGTAAGAATGGTCCTGGGATGTTCACATATAATTCAAGTTGAATACCAACATAAACTCTCATTTCCTCTAAATTTTCTGATCCATAGAGGGGAAAAGAATGTTAGCAGTAAAAACATTAGAAATGCTTCTGACATAGAAGGGGCCATTCTTATCAAAATTCCCACATTTCAGCTACCTTTTGTCCTATGAAGTTCCTTTTGACATAAATGCAAACTCTGCTTCTTTTCAGCTTTATGCAAAGCTAAAATGGGAGCCTCTACTTCTAGCCTTGACCAGAAAGTCAGAAAAGAGAATGTGTACTTTATGATTCCAGCATCATTCACCATGAAAATGGTCAAGATGAAGCACGCATTACCAGGAGTGAAATGGCATGAGAGAAAATTAGGATTCACTCATCGGTCATATTATATCTCATAGAATACAAACGAAGGTTTTAGCCTTGAACACATCATTTTCAAGAGGCAATTTTTACACTCTGGGGAGTGCTAACTACAGAAATGTATTTTCACTCTCACTATTTCATTCCAACTTTAGCGAAATACCTGCTTAGTAGGATCAGCATTAAGTAATCCATTGTGCTCTCAATGTATAAAATTCACTAAATATAAGAACTACAGTAGAAAAAGAATTGAGTGAATCATTATCTTGCAACATATTATTTGTATATGTTGCTAAAATCAACTACATGGCTGAAATGTAGGATTTGCTTTAGGATATTTGCTTCTGAAGTTTAATCTCTTTACAGTGAAATCTGTGTGTACTGATCTAACAAATGTGTTTCTGTGCATGTGTGTGTATACATGCCTGCAGCATGCTAAGGGGATAGGAAACGTAAGGGGGTTAGGTAGTTTTTCTTTTCACAGCCTGCACACAAGTGCATTAAAATACACACACACACACACCCATATGTGATAAGAAAATATAAAAACACTATAAAATGTATAATAACAGAACACAGAGACAACAACCACTGACCGGCAGGTGAGAAAATGGCTCATAAAAAGTGACATCAGATGAACACCTTTTAAATCTCAACAGGATTTACTATTCATAGAATAAAATGGAAGGTATGAATAAACTGGGAAAGTGAAGTGATTAAATGGTAAATTAAATATTGGTGTGATTAGGGGTTAATAATAGTGAATGTCCTATTTTAAAGGTTTTAAAAGAATGGCAATCTAGATGTATTCGAGCATTTTCCCTATGCAAGAGTCATTAAAATCTTTGAGGAGGATAACATTGTGACATGTAATTTAGGGAAAACGTACTGTAGTAACAGGATAAAAAACTTATTTCAAAGGGGAAAAGGAAACCAGATGTAATAAGACCAGTTAGGGGTCTAATATAAGAAAGTCAACTGGAAACATTGAAAGATTGACGGCTGTCAGCAGCAACTAATATGCAACCGTATTTTGGAGTTTGGAAGAGAAATCAAAAGAACCAGATTAATCACAGGAGTCACAAAAAAGGCAGAGACATCAATAATAAGCTCAATGCATCTGTTTTTCTGGAAACTATTTTTCTTATACAGTTGTCCCTCAGTATATGTGGGGGCTGAGTTCCAGGAAACCCATGTATATCAAAATCTGAGAATACTCACGTTCTGCCATTGGCCCTGTGGAACCCCCCCACAAAAGAAAACTCAGCCAAAAAAGTCAGCCCTCCCTATATAAGGATTTCTCTTCCCACTTTTCAGTCTGAGTTTGGGTGAAAAGTCTGCCTACAAGTGGACATACGCAGTTAAATCAGTGTCGTTAAAGGATCAACTGTACTTTCTCTAGTGGATGCTTTTCAGCGGTCCTGTGACATGAAATATTAAAACAATTTCTACCAGGCTTTAACAACATATGGTCAAACACTGAAAAAAGTCCTCTGCTCCTGCACTTTAGTTGCAGATTGTGGGTAGGAGGAAGAAACTAAGATGTGAGAATGATGACACTTAATCTTGATGCTGCTAACTGTAGCAAAGTAATAGTAAACTCAGATTTTTTTTTTTTTTTTGAAATGAAGTCTCGCTCTGTCACCCAGGCTAGAGTGCAGTGGCACGATCTCAGCTCACTGTAACCTCCGCCTCCCAGGTTCAAGCGATTCTCCTGCCTCAGCCTTCCAAGTAGCTGCGACTACAAGCGTGTGCTACCACACTCGGCTAATTTTTGTATTTTTAGTAGAGATGGGGTTTCACCATGTTGACCAGGCTGGTCTCGAACTCCTGACCTCGTGATCTGCCCGCCTCGGCCTCCCAAAGTGCTGGTAATACAGGGGTGAGCCACCACGCCTAGTCTTAAACTTAGATTTTTATCTGACTTGGAAGCAATATCTGATCACTGGGTATCAGTGGGGCTTTAAATTGATTACTGGAGCTCTAAAATTGACTACTGAATGTGCTCTCTATACCAGATCTATATTATGACTTCAGTTAATGACCTAAGAAATTGGAAAACTTGAGCCACAATGGTCTGTTTAGCCTCTGGAAGGTCCCACTAGGTATCTGATTGCATGAACGTATCATTTTCTTTTGTACATTAGCTTACAATCCCCTTTTTAGTATCTATTTTATTTTGTATTTTTTTTTTTACAAAAGATGTTCCTTGAAGATTAGCAGCACAAGACATATTAATAACTGATGTTGTTACTTGAAATTCAAGACCGAATTTAAATTTATTGCAAACATGTAATTATATAACACTATTCGTCAATTTCAACCTCTTCCATGGCCAAAGCTTTTCGAGTAATTCCAACTAGAAGAAATTTCACCAATTCGAGTGTCTCGCTCTCTGCCCTGATACATGTTAGGGAGCCCGTGTTAATAAATATTTATTTGAATGGATTTCCTTTCTTTTTGTGTTATTATCTCATTTTCTTTTTTAATATGATGAACACATTTAAGGTTCAAAACAGTGTTTACAATGCCTTTTTATATTTTAAAATGCAGTGAAACATCAACAAAACAATATGTAAAGTCTAGGCTTTTTAATATGCCCCCATTTTAATTATCTTGCATAGTATGTTTTAAAACTTACTTTTTTCCTACTCTGCTCTATTTGTTAAGATCATTTATTCATGTTAAGAAAAGGCTGTCTATAGCTGGGTGTGATGGCTCACGTCTGTAATCCTAACACTTTGGGAGGCCAAGGCAGGCAGATCACCTGAGATCAGGAGTTCAAGACCAGCCTAGCTAACATGGTGAAACCTCGTCTCTACTAAAACACAAAAATTAGCCGGGCATGATAGTGGGTGCCTGTATTCCCAGCTACTCAGGAGGCTGAGACTAGAGAATCGCTTGAACCTGGGAGACAGTGGTTGCAGAGATGAGATTGCGCCACTGCACTTCAGCCAGGGCAGCTGAGTGAGACTCCATCTAAAAAAATAATAGAAAAGAAAGAAGTTAAAAAAGGCCATCTATAGCAAGCAAAATAATGAGCTTGTACTTATGAAGACAAATAACTAAAAGAAACATGATAGGTGCTTTTTTTTTATCTTTGTAGAATTCCAACAAAGCAGTTCTATAGGTTTGAAAGATATTCGCCTGTTCATTTGAGATCTCCTATCTTGTGTTTAATCAGTGCCGTGATTACAATAGGACTATAGAGAATGTTATAGTCCTGTG